>NC_000006.12:18847878-18999393 GCF_000001405.40 Homo sapiens | reverse complement strand
AAAGGCTGGGAGGTGGCATAAAATGCATGCATCAAAGTTAATGGATCTGAGGAGAAGGGAACTAGAGTATTTATACACTCATTCCAGTTAGCCATTGGCTGAGAGCTATTCTCTGGGGGTGTTATTTCTCCAGAACTTTCAGCTTTCCATATGAACAGCAAAGTTCACTCCAGCAGCAAGACAGTAAGCCCACAAAAAGAAGCACCGATACATCAGTGAGAGATCTTGCGATGGTGGTATGTTTCATTAATAACTCTGTTACCTTGGGTGAGGTATGGTAAGGCCATGCATAGATCAAGAGAGGCTAATTGGAAAGAGTTGTAGTTTTATGCCCACACAATTTTCTTGGGAGAACACAGATACCCACCAACCCCACTACCTCTAACATAAAACCACTCAGGGGAAGCAACAGGGTCAGTCCTGAGGCAGAGGAAGAAAGCAGAACTGTGGGCAAACATGCTGGTTTCCAAGGGAAGGAATAGGCAAGAGAGGGTAAATGAGTTTACAATTGGCTACTCTGAATAAGTTCAGCAAGCACTGGTGCATAGGGGCTGTCTTTAGTTGTTTGGTACCTGTCCCTGAGGTGCTTAGCAAAAGGGGATCATGGCCTGAGTCTCATGAAAATTCCATAATGGAGGTGACTGGGGTATAGACTTAATTTGGCTGATCAAGAAGAGGAATTCACTGACTTTTATGCAGGGCCTCAGAACTGGGTAAAGATGGCATTTAAAAAACTATACTAAAAATTATACAAGTCTGATGAAAGAAATCAAAGAATAAATGGAAGATATTTCATGCTCATGAATAGGAAGACTCCATGTTGTCAGTTCAGTTCTTCCCAACTTGATTTATAAATTCAATGCAATCCTAATCAAAATCCCAGCAAGTTATTTTGTGAATATCAATAAATTGATTCTAAAGTTTATATAGATAGGCAAAAGACCCAGAATACACAATATTGAAGGAGAAGAACAAAGTTGGAAGACTGACACTATCTGGCTTCAAGATGGACTATAAAGCTACAGTAATCAAGACAGTGTGACACTGGCAAAAGAACAGACAAATAGATCAACGGAGGAGAAGAGAGAGCCCAGAAATAGACCCACATAAATTTAGTCAACTGATCTTTGAAAAGGGAACAAACGCAATACAATGGAGAAGAGGTGATCTTTTCAACAAACGGTGCTGGACGAAGTGAACAATAACAGGCAAAAAATAAATGAATCTAGGCACAAACCTTCAACCTTCACAAAAATAAACTTGAAACAAATCACTAACCTAAATGTAAAATGCAAAACTCTAAAACTTCTGTAAGATAATATAGGAGAAAATCTAGGTGACCTTAGTATTGGGGATAACTTTCAAGATACGACACCAAAGTCATAATCCATGAAATAAAGAATTGATAAGCTGGAAATCATTAATATTAAAAATTCTAGAGATTATGGTGCAGGAGGGCACTCTACACTCCACATGCAGGGAGATTCTCCAGGCCTCAGGAGCACCCACTCTTCTGGATTAGGAATTTAGGCTGTCCTGCTCCCCCTGTGCAAGAACTTGGGGCTGAGGGAGTTTCCCAGCTTCACACCTAGGCATGCTTCTAAGTGCTTTATGGATGCCTACTGAATTATCCCTTAGAGCTGGTGCTGGTGCTGGTGCTTGTGCCTGCCATTAGAGGACCTGTAGGCAGACCTGCCTTATATGTCCCCACCCATTTTGCCCCTCGTCTCCTCAGGGCTGGGCAGAGAGCTCAGGCCACTGTGCACTTCATGGATTAGCCCATTGTCTGAAGTAACAGAGAGCTTCTCCCAGTAAACACGGATCAGGTGTATATTCAGCCACACTGGCCACAGCAAGCACTTACTCATAAGTGCCATCTACTGGCTTATAGGTCATACAACACAGCCCAATAAAGAACCTGCCAATAGAAGTACTTATGTCTATAGAAGCAAAACCAAAAGACCTTACTCAGCATTCTCTACAGTCTCAGCCCCTAGGGAGGAAGGGAAAGAGAGAGGAAAAGAAAAAATAATAAAAAGAAACAAAAGAGGAAGAAAAAAGAACAATAATATTATGTGGAAAGAAAGAAAAAGAAAAATTCCTATGTGCACAAAAATAATTACAAAAACTAGAAGTGTCAGTGTCTCCAGATGAGAAGGTACTAGTGCAAAAATTATGGCACTATGAAAAATCTGAATGTAGTGACACCACCAAAAGATCACATTTGCTCTCCAGCAATGATCCCTAACCAAAATGGAAACTCAAAAATGACAAAAAGGTAAAAAATTCAAAGCGTGGATTGCAAGGAAGCTGAATGAAATGCAAGGTAAGGTTGAAAATTAACAAGAAGAAACTTTTAAAGCAATCCGGGAAACACAGGAAGAGATCAACATTTTTAAAAGAAGTCAATCAGGGCTTCTGGAATTGAAAAATTTACCTAAGGAATTTCAAAATACAATTGAAGGCCAGGCGCAGTGGCTCACACCTGAAATCCCAACACTTTGGGAGGCTGAGGCACAGTCAGCCGAGTTCATGCCATTACACTCCAGCCTGGGCGACAGAGCGAGACTCTGTCTCAAAAAAAAAAAAAAAATACAATAGAAAATTCTATCAATAGACTGGACCGAGCAGAAGAAACAATTTCAGGACTCGAAGACTGGCCTTTCAAATGAACCCAGTCAGACAAAAATAAAGGAAAAGGAATTAAGAAAAATAAATGAAGTCTTCAAGAAATATGTGATTATATAAAGCAACCAAACCTACAAATTGTTGGGATTTCTGAGAGACATGAGAAAAAGTAAAAAACCGGGAAAATATATTTGAGAGAATAACTCAAGAAAATTTCCCTAATCATGATAAAGAGATAGACATCCAGATGCAAGAAATCCAGAGGACACCTGTCGCTCTAAAAAAAGAGCATCCCCAAGTCATTTATTCATCAGACTGTCCAAGGTCAATGCTAAAAAAAAAACCCCAAAACAAACAAACAAACAAAAAACTCTTAAAGGCAGCTAGAGAGAAGAGAACCCCATCAGGCTGATAGTGGACTTCTCAGCAGAAACTTTACAAGCCAGTAGAGATTAGATGTCTAGTTTCAGCATTCTTAATGAAAAGAAATTCCAACCAAGAATTTCATATCCTGTCAAAATATGCTTCATAAGTGGAGGAATAATATATTTTCCAGACAAGCAAAGACTAAGGGAATTTGTTACTATTAGACCAGCCTTACAAGAGATCTTTAAGACAGTTCTAAATATAAAAATAAAATATCTACTACCACAAAAACACCTTAAATACATAGCCCATACACCTTATAAAGCAATCACACAATAGAAACTGCAAAGCAACCAGCTAACAACTTCACAATATGATCAAAACATTACATATCAATATTAACTTTGAATGTAAATGGTTTAAACACCCCGCTTAAAAGGCATAGAGTGGCACGTCGGATACAAAAGTAAGACCCATCCATCTTCTGTCTTCAAGAGACACATCTCACATCTAATGACATCCATAGGCTCAAAGTAAAGGGCTAGAGAGAAATCTATCACACAAATAGAAAACTAAAAAGAGCAAAGGTCACTATTTTTATATCAGATAAAACAGACTTTGAACCAACAACAGTAAAAAAGGACAAGGAAGGGCATTACATAATGATAAAGGGTTCAATTCAATAAGAAGACCCAACTGTCCTAAATATATACTCACCCAACATAAGAGCACCCAGATTACAAAACAAGTACTTATAGGTCTACAAAAAGACATAGACAGCCAAACAATGATAACATGGGACTTCAACACTTACTGACAGTGTTAGAGCATTGAGGCAGAAAAATAACAAAGAATTCTAGACTTAAATTTGATACAATCAATTGGACATAATAGACACTTAATATTCTATACACCAACCACAGAGTATACATTTTTCTCGTCTGCACACAGAACATACTCTAAGGTCAACCACATGCTCAGTCATACAGCAAGTCTCCATAAATGCAAAAATATCAAAATCATACCAACCATACTCTTGAACCACAGTGGAATAAAAATAGAAATCAATACCAAGAAGACCTCTCAAAACCACACAATTACAGGAAAATTAAACAACTTGCTCTTGAATGACTTTTGGGTAAACAAAGAAATTGAAGCAGAAATGAAAAAAATCTTTGAAATCAGTGAAAACAGAGACACAATATCAAAATCTCTGGGATGCAGCAAAAGTGGTGTTAAGAGGAAAATTGATAGCTCTGAACACCTACCTCACAAAGTTAGAAAAATCTCAAATTAACAATCTGACATCACACCTATAGGAACTAGAAAATCAAGGACAAACTAACCTCAAATCTAGAGAAGAAAAGAACTAAACCAGGGCAGAACTGAACGAAATTGAGATCCAAAAATCCATATAAAGAATCAACAAAACCAAAAGTTTGTTTTCTGAAAGGATAAACAAGATCAATAGACTGCTAGCTAGATCAACAAAGAAAACAAGATAGAAGAGCCAAATAAGCACAATCAGAAATGACAAAGGTGACTTTACAAATAATCCCACAGAAAGACAAAGGATCATTAGAGATTATTATGAGCACCTCTATGCACACAATTAGAAAATCTAGAGGAAATGGATAAATTCCCGGAAACACAATCTTCCAAGATTGAATCAGGAAGAAATTGAAACCCTGAACAGAACAATATTGAATTCCAGAATTCCATTAGTGATTAAAAAAAAACTATCAACCTAATAAACCCCTGGACCAGATGGAAAGAGTGAACTTTAATGTAGACTGTAGACTATGGGTGATTATGATGTGACATGTAGGTTGTTTGTAACAAATGTACCACTCTGGTCCGAGGAATGTTGGTAATGGGGAAGGCTACACATATGTGGGGGCAGGGGATATATGGGAAATCTCTGTACCTTCCTCTAAATTTTGCTATGAATCTAAAACTGCTTTTAAAAAATAAAATCTATTAAAAGAAAAAAGACATTATAAGTAAGGGTAGGGAGATATGGGTTAGGTGACAAGGTTCACAATAGGAGGATCCCATCATAACACATACTACAGTGAAAATAAAATCAAATTCCCATTATAATTTGTAAATCCCTGGGAAGCACTTATAATCATTCATTAAAAATCCCTTCAAAGAGTGACTTAAGAAATTTGTAAATATTATTTATCTTTGTCCTTTATCCTCTTATCAAAATACGGGAAAATCCTTATTCGTGTATTCATTTATTCAGCTCGCAAATATTTATTGAGTGGCTACTTTATGCCAGGGACTAGATTCTGAGAATGCAATGAACAAAACAGACTAAATATCATTTCCTTGTAGAGCTTATATACTTTAGAGTAAGTGAGAGATGACAATAAGCCAGTAAATAAGTAAATATATACAGCATGGCAGACAGTGATTATTTATTGGTTTAAAAGTCTTCCCATCTGGTAAAACAATAACTACAAATTAAATGATATGAAAAACTTATTTCACCATCAAATAGCAACATCACAACTTCTAAGATGTTCTTTCATCATTGAAGTATTGTGGAAGCATCACTTGATACCAGTCTCTAGAATACTGCCGCATGCTGCTGGCCTTTACAAACACGGTTGTCTTGGAAAAGGATGCGTTCCTTTAAACCCAGAGAGCAGAGGTAACAGATCCTGTTTGAAATGGTTGCTAAGGGACCATTCTATATAAATTAATTAGTAAACATCAACCCAGGTTTCAAAGGGCTAAGGAGGTCTCTCACTTGAGAAGGAAAAATTATTCCCTAATGATTAGGAAAAGGCTATCACAGGGTATTTCATGCACACCAGCAGCACTGCACTGCTGCATATTTTTTTCTTTTTGTTTTGAGGCTTTCTCTTTACTTCGTCCTTTATTGTCTTCTGTAGTTTTATTTATTGTTTCTGAGATTTTCCTTTCTTTCTTTTTTTTTATTTATTATTATTATTTTTTGCATGGGGGAACAGGGAGAAAATCAGGGAAATCTGGAAAGGCAAGCAGGTCTTTGTGTCTTTTAAAAGGTGAGCAGAAGATAGCATGTCCTTCCTGCTGCAGGGCAGAGACTGAAGAGACACTGTTTATGAGGGTTTTTGACATTAAGTCAAAAATGTTCAAAAATGTTATTGAAGTTAAACACAGGCCCAGAAAGTGGTGTTGTTGTTTTTTATCAGAGATAAATTACGAGCGATTTCTGAAAATTTTCTGTGAGAAATAGGGTTAGGATAGAGAGTTTAATATATCGTTATGTTTATATTATTTAAATGTTGCTATAAATAGTTTTGCTGATTTGTAAATAGTTGGCTTAAAATGATGCTTGGATGTCTTCATAAAGGGTTTAATTTCCATAAAGAGTAAAATTTAGAAGAAGATGAGGTAAAACTTTGACTCAGGTATCTCACAGGACGTCTGACTGCTAGGGTCAAAAAGACCACGATAACATAATAGTTCATTTGATGACAAGTTAATTGAATTTCATGAATAATTATGAGAAAGAAAAAAAAGCAAGCTTCTGGTACTCTAGCCTTGTAAACATCATAAAACATTAAAATAAGAGCTAGGGAGAGCTGTGGAAAATGTAAAAATAATTTTTCTTTTAGAATTTATTTTTTAATGTTGTCATATTTTTAAATCATAAAACAATTTTATTTTGAAAGGTAAATGCTTGTAAGGCATTCTTATTCTAAGTATACTTGTGATACAAACTGACTCAAGCATAAATTATGACTAGTTAGAGCAGTACATTACTAACTTAATATCAAGAAGATACATATTTTTTCCTTTTTAAAGCTAATTCTCAATGAGATGAATAAGACAAAAAATAAACCTTTGTATGCCAAATGGAGTTCCAGCTACTCGGTCATAAGGAAAGACTTGCAAACTTGCAAATAAGAATTTTTTTTAAAAAAAAAGAAAGATGAAAAAATATCTTCATATTCTTATCTCCTGCTGTTCTACAAAATTTGCCCTCATTTTACTTATATAGTCCTTGCTTGTTTGGTAAAGAGGGAGCCCTGTGGGATTCCAAAGGTAACACAATAGAGGCAATGGACTGTTTCATTTCCCATATGCAAGTGATTACAGAAGGAATGGAAGAAGCTAGCACTAAAGAGGGATTTTTTAAAAGAATAAATGCCCAGTCAGTGTTATTTGAAAAGTATCTAGTTACAGGTCAAGTTACGTGTATTTATCATAGGTGGGAAGGTTAGATTTTCACTACATTAAGATGTAAAACTAGCATATCAGTGTGCACAGTGAGGTTTCTGAACTCAAAGGATAATATTAGATATTTTCCTATTCTGTCCTAGGAGCAAGCTTATACTATATATGGGGGAGGAAATCAACATATCTGAGCAGTATGGTCAGATAAGAAACATTCACGTGATGTTCATAATACAGCTAGTGTCTCCTGCTGGCTTTTGTGAAACAGTTTAAACAGACAAATACTAGACCAGGGGTGTCTAATCTTTTGGCTTCCCTAGACCCCATTGGAAGAATTGTCTTGGGCCACACATAAAATACACTAAAAAAAAATTCACAAAAAGATATAATGTTTTAAGAAAGTTTGTGAATTTGTGTTGGGCAGTATTGAGAGCTGCCCTGGGCCACATTGCAGCCCACGGGCCGCAGATTGGACAAGCTTGTTTGGCTTTTGCTTTCCAGTTTGTTTACTTCAATTCAATGAGTAGTTTCTATGAAACTATAGATGTTGTCTTGGCCTACACCAGAAGTTTCTCTGGAATGTAAGATGAATAAATGAATGTGTGAAAAATCAAATCAAGAAGATGGGAGGAGATTATTAAAGTAAAGAGATTCTTCCTGGTGCTGAACTTTGCCATGAACTTGGCTTGGTTTCTTTCTTTCTTTCCAAATTTTGAGTAAATGGGAACCATTCTAAATAGGCGAGTCATTGGGTGAGTTGTCATATGCAAAGGTTAGGCACTTTCCTACTCTAGCCCTTAGGCCTTCCCTTTGACTTGATTTAAGCTACATCCACAGTGTGTGGGGAGAATTTGCTTCTGAGCTGATGTTAGTGGGTCCAAAAAGTGAAGTTGTAGAAACAGAGAATGTAGGTAGGACGCATTTTTCTTTGCCAAGTTGCCTTCCACATGCATGGAAGGCCATGTTCAGCTTTTACCTCTCCAAGTGAAAACTGCTGTTCCCTGTCTGCCCACTTTCTAGTTGTGCATATTGCTTCCTCAAGAGAACGTTCGAGACCAGGCATGATGGCTCATGCCTGTAATCCCAGCACTTTAGGCAGCTGAGGCGGGAAGACTGCTTAAGCAAAGGAGATCAAGACCAGTCTGGGCAACATAATGAGACCTTGTCTCGATTAAAAAAAAAAAAGAGAGAGAGAGAGAGAGAAAGAGAGAGAGAGAACATTAGAAGTAGGGAAATACATGTGCAAAATGTCATACGTTTTGAAGTATTAAAATGTATGAAATTATTACATATTCATTTCAACCAATTTTATCTAGTTAAGAAAAACCGAAACCAAGAATGAAACAAGCATTTTTCATTGCAAAATCGGAATTTGGCAGATTTATTATCAAATAGGTGAGAGTACTATTTGCCACGATCTAAAGAGTACTGTGTATAGACATCCGCCCTGTATTTAGCTTAAGACTTCGGAGTTTGAAGAAAGTTCACAATTGTCCATTAGCAACCGCCGATACCTTGGCATGGGATGCCCACAACACCAATTTATCAAATGCATACCTGCCTCAAAACAATCTTTTCCTGGCAGATGCTTTAATTGCGCTCTGCAAGAGAGCCAGCTTGCCATCCCATGAGCAGGCACTCTTTGGAGGCTGACAGCCGATTGGCTCCCCCTAGGGGCAGACGAGCCTCCGCGGAGGGAAGGCACCGTGGCAGGTTGCCAGGAAACCAAGCCCTTGGTGCGGCTGATAGAAAAACACAGGAGCAGAGGGTCTCCTTTCTGTGCATTGTTTGGTTAGGCGGCTTCGTCTCTCTCTAGCACACCAGCTGAGTGCAGATCCTGTCTTAACACTCTAAAGCCAAGAAGTTCATCTCCACGAATCCCGACGGAGACACTTTCCTATATCACTTTCTCCTTCTCAGGGGCTGTCTCCCCTGATTTCCTTACACTCTTCATGTTTGCTTTTCATAGTTGCTCTTGCAAACGCGAGACAAAGCTGGAGGAGTGTGTTTGGGAAAATAGATGGCTGAGCTCCAGTAGTCAGGGAGCAATGTGACTTAACGAGGATATTTTATCCTTATGGCTTCATACCTGCAGAGCTCTTTTCCTTCTAAAAGCTCAAAGAACAATTCTGGTCTTGATTTTGCCTCAGCAAGATGCCATAACGTTTAAGAAAATACAACTTCAAAAGAAGACTCTGAAGAAAATCATAGAGTATTTTTGCGATTAGTATATTTATGCAGCATTATAAGATATATAAAGTTGTAGGTGTTGCTCCGCCAAATCTTTTATTACTTTGATTATACTTCGAATAGTCTTCATGTGCTTGAGAAAGGATTTTTTAAAATTATTTTCTTTACCACTTCGGCTTTATGTTCCAATATCTCTTTCTTAGTGAAGACTTCTCCAATTATATTATTTAAAAGTACAGCTCACTTCCCATAAGCACTTCCTGTTTCTGACCCTACTTACTTTTCCGTAATGCTTGTATCAGTCACAGTTCAACTAGGGAAGCAGGACCACTAAGAGTGGGATGAAACATGGGTGTATTATAGAAATAAGGCCTTACACAAAGAACAACTGGGGAACAAAGCCTCTAAGAAGGGAACTAGGAGGCTGGAGAAATGTCCTGAAGCAGCCCTCCTGAAGCACTGTTGCAGATGATGGACAAATAGGAGCTTTCCAAAAGAATACTGGTGGTGAGGCACATGGAGCTGGAATTGGGCAGCATAGGAGAGCTGGTAAAGTCAGCAGAAGGCTCTTGCCTCTGCTTCTATTGGTCGGCCTGAGATTGCCGTAGGTCAGCAGGACAGACAGGAGAAAGAGCTGGACACAGAGCAAGGGGAGAGGAGGAGGCAGAAGGCTCTGGCACCTCTGCATCCGTCTTTCACAGCATGTAGCCATGATGATGTGCAGATAGCACGGCTGCTGCTTCATTTCCAACCTCCAAACCTTGCGAAAATTCCTCTTTGGCCAATTCCACCCAGGAACCATACGAGGAAAGGGATGCTGGGAAACATGGTTCCAGCTTAGGCAGTTGGACACAGTACAAACCTACAAGTGTTTAACCCCTTTCCCCATCTGACATACTGTATACAATTATATAGATTTGTATCCCTGTATGTGCACATACACACGCACACAATTCTAAATTCTATGAGTACAGGGATTTTTATCTGTTTTACATACCTCAGTGTCTTGGCACATAGTAAATATTTACTATGCTTGGCACATAGTAAATATTTAATGAATATTTATTGTCTGAAGTTTTGATTGCTAGCCTTTGAATTTTACCTGTGGACAAAACCTGAGTCAGGATCGTTAATTTTGACAAAAATTGACAAATACAGTTGACAAAACCTAGATCCAGGAAATGAAAAAGTGACCAATTCCAAGAACATGAGTAAGCTGCCAAGCCAGAATTGGAGACAGCAGTGTTTGCTAGTGCATAAGACACTGTCCAGTTAACATGTCCCTCTCCTGTGAGAAATTCGACTCAGTCTACTTCCAGCGGTGGCCTCATTTCTGTTTTTAAGCTCAGGAAAGCTTACATGTGGTTTGCTTAAAAGAAAAGCCAAAGTGGATGGATCCAGTTTGCCAGCTTTACCCAAGTGAAACCAGGAATTAAGCTGTAGAGATGCATTTTTCAGCATCAAGGGCCACCCAGGTCTTAGAAATTCATATTGTTAAATGTCTTGAGAAGACCCCAATTTCTACAGCCTAAGTGGGACACACTTTCTCATCTTATACATTTCCAGGGCCAGATTTTATTAATAACTGGCTGAATCTTAACAGACATAGTTCCTACCCCTATATATGTCCACTATTAGACTGTCTAGTGGCCTTATACCCATTAAGGGGATCATATTTTGAAACCTACAATTTGATTACTTATAAAGGATTTAGAAATCTATCTAATTAAAAGACCTGAGAGAACCACAAATTGAGGCATGTAACCTGATATAAAAGCTTGATTCACTATGGCCCCTGTGTAGCCTGTGTATCAGCTGGAATAATTTTCATTGCAAATAAAACAATACAATGTGGCATAAGCAATAGAGGAAACTTATTAGTTCACATAACTGAAAACCTCAGCCTTCAGGCTGGGACTGATCAGAGCTCCAAATGCATTTCTTTTGTTTTCTTGTCTGTGTCTCTTCCATCCCTTACCCTCTGACTAGCTTCACAAGATGACTGCCTGCAGCACCTGAAGCTGTGTGTTTCCTCAGTCGTGTGCATGGGGAACAAAAGGGCATGTTTCGACACTATTAAACAAAAGTCCAAGGATTATGTTAATAATAGTACCACTACATTAATCCTTGTGTCCAAAGAAATATCATGAGACTGACTGGCTTAGGTCAGGGTTATATAAAGCTATTGCAGTGGGGTGATGGGAGGGATTACCCTGATATTCCAGTACAGGCCCCATGGGCACTGTATTGGCCTGCCAAAGCTGCTGTAACAAGGTACCATAGACCAGGTGGGTACCTTAAACAATGGAAATTTATTTTCTCACAGTTTCAGAGTCTAGAAGGCCAAGATCAAGGCATCGGCAGGCCTGGTTTCTCCTGAGGACTCTTTCCTTGGCATGCAGATGATACTTTCCTACTGTGCCCTCACCTGGCCTTTCCTCTAATTAAAAGACCCAAAAGAACCACAAATTGAGGCATATAACCTGATATCAAAGCTTGATTCACTATGGCCCCTATAATATATAAACTGTACATCAGTTACAGTGATTTTCATTCCAGATAAAACAATACAATGTGGCTTAAGTAATAGAAGAAACTTCTTAGTTCACATAATTGAAAACTTCAGCCTGCAGGCAGGGACTAATGAGAGCTCCAAATGCATTTTTTTCTGTTTTCTTGTCTGTCTATAAGGACTTAGTCCCTCCCTCTTCTTATAAGGACATTAGTCATATTGGATTGGGTTCCCATCTCACCACCTTATTTAACTTTAATTACCTCTTTAAAGGTCCCATATCCGAATATAGTCACATTGGAGGTTAGGGCTTTAACATATGAATTTGGAGGACAGAACTCAGCCCGTAACAGCAGCTGAGAATTGGAACAATCTCTTTCAAATAACTTGACTACAAAAGTACAGGGGAGAAAGGTATTGGGGAATCAACCAAAATGTTCATGAAAATCCAAAAAAATCTTAAACCCTTAAAAGTTCCCTTTACCCATCAAATTAATGATGATTTTTAAAAACATCATTAACGGTGTATTGAATTTCCCCAGGGCAAACTGCTACTAAATGTGGGTCTCCTGGGCCTTATTGTTTTGTCTAAGCAAATATTTTCAGAAGCGTATTCTAAGGAGTGCTAGTCTCATGACATACTGAAAAAAACTCCTGTTTAAATAAATAATGATAAATCCTACATAATGCATTTATCAAGATCTCAACTCACAAATTAGCACATTTAAAGGCCCCAAGAAATCCTAGAGTTTTTAAAAAAAATGTTTACTTTTATATAATACAGGACTTCGTCAACTTTTTGACAACATAGAATTTTCCCCGAATATGACATATTAAAACTCCCATGGAATACATTTTACAAAATGCTCTTCTCTGGAAATGTTACATCTTCTTATTCAAAGTAGGAGGAGATAAATGGCAGGAACAAACATTCAGGCTGAATGATAGAATTGGCATAGGTTTTAGAATGAAGGCTGTTGTACTATACGTTAGTCTAACGTAGCTTTGCTTTTTTCACTGAAAGTTTCCTGTTCTGGGAAAGGAAGCTAATACATTTCGGTGCTAGTCTTTGGCTGTAACAGAAGGGTTGCTAGCTTCAGAGAAATCACGCTAATAGAGCACCTGAATGCATGTGGTCATAGCCTGTTTGCACCTGTTGCAGCCACAGGCTGAGAAAGAAACAGGAACAAGACACATTAAGATTCGGGAATAATGAAGTGTCTACGCCAAGAAGATTGTACAATACAAACTCTGCAATGCAGGAAAATAAAGAACCAGTGACCAGAGGAAAAAATCAGTGGCAGAAGCTCAGAGACAAGAAAGGCCCAGAGCCTCAATTTGCAATGACTGCACAGGCTTGTGTGCCAATAGCTCAACTCCACCCCCTTGCTCTTGGGACACTCTTTCCAATTTTAAACACTTGGACACCATAAGGAGTGGCTGCTTCCAACATATAACCCAAGACATCTGTTAAAGCAAAGTAAAACAGAAAAACCTGAAGGTAATTTGGAGCCTTCCAAACACCTGTGAGTCAGACAACACACAAACCTCCCCTTCTTTAAAAGCACAGATGAGCTTGAACCTTCTGGGCATTTTAGCAGTTTACCATCTGTACCAATAACCCTTTTCTGCAGTTCAGAGAGTCTTCTAGGAGGATGTAAAATCCAGGAACCAAGATAAGGAAACATGTTTACACCTGCTACATCTGTTCAATCTTTTCCAGGCTCTGCTTCACACTGGACTTTCTGTGCAGGCATGCTTTTGAAATCATTCTTGTCCATTTAAGTTTCACATATGCTCCCTAAAAGCATAGCAGAAGAATATAGAAACCAGCTTCAAGAGCTCCGTGGTCCAAGGTTGCATTTCCAGGGAATACTATCTCCATTTTCCTTTTATCTTCAATAATCATGGAACCTAGGTCACCTTGAATAAGGTAAAATACTGCTCTAGTGGTAGGTGATGAAATCACAAAAAATGGGGAGGACATTAAATCAGTTCTGTTGGAAAGTAAAACCTTTAGACAAGCTAATTACAGTGAAGCCATTCATAAAATAATAGGTTAAAAAAGAACGATGATAACCAAACCACCTAGACAAACAACACAGTCATTCATCTTACCTCCAAGAAAAACATAACCCCAACCAGCTATTTGCCCTGCTCCCAGTAGAGGCAGACACACCTGAATGTGCTATGAAGAGACAAGCCTTAGGGGAGAAACAGTGTGATTTGGACAAATCATTCTATAACAGCGAAACCTTTCGATGTGTTCAACGGCTGCAGAAAGCACACCACAGGTGAGAGACCAGAAAGTGCCCAAGGGGTTTCATACAAAAAACTATATTTAGGTATAGGCCACAGTCTACGTAGAAAACCTTCAAAGGGCTGGGAACAGTGGCTCGTGCCTGTAATCCTAGCACTTTGGGAGGCCAAGGCGGGTGGATCACCTGAGGTCAGGAGATCGAGACCAGCCTGGCCAACATGGTGAAACCCTGTCTCTACTAAAAATACAAAATAATTAGCCAGGTGTGGTAGCACACACCTGTAACCCCAGCTACTTGGGAGGCTGAGGCAGAATTGCTTCAACCCAGGAGACAGAGGTTTCAGTGAGCTGAGAACATGCCACTGCACTCCAGCCTGGGCAACAGAGTGAGACTCCGTCTCAAAAAAAAAACAAAACAAAACAAAAGAAAACCTTCAAAGAATCTTCAAAGATGGGTTGGAGGGTAGAAACCAAAAGGATAATTATATTACAACACTGGGACATTACCTCTGACCTGTTCAGCGCATTTAGACCATGATATTCAAGGAAAATGACTGATACTTATACTATATAATAAGAATAATACCAGCGTTCATATTGAGAAATTTGGGGAGGCTAGGATCAACAGGTGGCATGTAAGTTGACAAGAGACCCTATTTAAGAGCAAACATAATTCTGTTAAAGTTTATTTTATTGGGATCTATTTATTTGCCCATTCAAAAATGAAATTGACTCTAAAACAGCAAGTGTTAAAACTAAATAATCTAACCCAGTGTTTCCAACCCTCCTTCCCCAATTTTAAAATAAAACAATTAAAACAAAGAAGACCTAAGTGATTGGTCCAGGGTATCAGAGACAATGGCAAAGCTCAAACAAGAATACACTTCTCTGCCTTTAAGTCCCCAGCTTATTTAGAGATTTCTACTAGTTATAGTCCTAAAAGGATCTAGGGTCTTCCCCACCTATAACATACTCTGACCATATCACAGACAAGTCTTGTAGCTGGAAATCTTTCAGTTCCTAAAATTGTCTTAAATGATTCCAAAGATTAATACTTCTATATGTTCATTGAAGAATAAACCTACTTCTCTGGAAGGTATTATATCATTTTGCCTAATAAAACTTACAGTTTGTGCTTCCCTCCCTTTCTGAAAGAAAGGAAGGTCATAGAGAAGAGAAAAATTTGTGATTCACGCAACTAAATACAGGATGAAGGGGCAGTTTATCCCAAGTCAGCCAATACTGCATATGTAGAATCAGTATATGCTGCAACTTGCTTTCTGGGACCCTAGAGCAAATCTATGGAAAAACCATGCCCAATGGCAACAGTTTGTATTATATTTATATTTCTTCTGGTGTACTGGGATTTCAAATCTATTATCATGGAAATATATTTCACCACAAAACATTGCTATACAGATCTGAGAAGAATTGGATTACCTTCCCTGAAATGATACAACTAAAAGCTCTGATACTAATCCTTATTGGCAGCCAGCACTACACAGTGACCAGGTAGTGGGTCTATGACAGATGTGAGATTCAAACCTGGGTCATCACCCTCCCAAGCTAGCATTCATTTTCCTACATCTGGCTTTATAATAACATAGTATTCTAGCAGGCAACAGAGCAACATTATTTGATACTGACTGCTGATTTGGGACTAGACTTGTTTGTATTCCTATCATCTTTAAATCAATTTATAAAAGTGAAAACCATTTTAGCCATGGGTTAACTGAAAAGCGAGAAGGCAAAGACGAAAGCTTCTGAAGTGAAACTTGGAACAGACAGATCTCTTGTGACTTTTCAGGCTGTTGGCAGCACCTATGGTGGTAATACCAATATGTCACTCCACATCCATGCACATCTTGCCTCCGATATAGTGCGCCAACACTGTGATTGAATTTAAGAAAACTTAGAGGCGCGGCGCGGTGCCTCATGCCTGTAATCCCAGCATTTTGGGAGGCCGAGATGGGTGGATCACGAGGTCAGGAGATCGAGACCATCCTGGCTTACACGGTGAAACCCCATCTCTACTAAAAATACAAAAAAATTAGCTGGGCATGGTGGCGGGTGCCTGTAGTCCCAGCTACTCAGGAGGCTGAGGCAGGAGAATGGTGTGAACCTGGGAGGCGGAGCTTGCAGTGAGCTGAGATCGCACCACTGCACTCCAGCCTGGGCGACAGAGCGAGACACCCTCTCAAAAAAAAAAAAAAAAAAAAAAAAAAAAAAAAAAGAAAGAAAGAAAGAAAGAAAACTTAGAGTAGTTTGTACATAGTTGCAAGAAGTAGACTTTCCCTTTCAAAGTATGATTTTCAAAGAACTCCAGAAAGCCCAAAGACTCAAAAATATTTCCTCCTCACCTCTCCACCTCTTGACTTTGGGATGAAACATTATTTCCTACAAAGTTGTTGTTAAAATTGAAATATTTAACCCGGGTGGAGTAAAATTATATTAAGCAAAACATGATATCATCTAAAACTTTGAAACATTAATAAATAAAACTGTCTGAAGCACTTCAGCTTTTTGTGGCTCACCCCTAGCCCTACTCCACTCCTCTCACTAAAGATAGAAGGTCAAGTTTAAGGGTCCCACGGATTTAAGGTTTAAATTTCCAACTTTAACACCTCTAATGAGGATTTTCTACTCCAGGTCAATAGCTTCTCACAGTCCTTTCTTGAACACTCATTCTTCTCAACCCCTTTCTCTACACTTATGATGCTCTTTCTTCCTGCATAATTTGTCCCCATCATCTCTATCTTTAAGTTTTAATTTGACCTTTTCTAGCAGCCTGAGCTCTTGGAATGTCTCTCTTCTCTGAATCCTGGCTATTTCTGGATCATGCACTGCTGAACATAAACACAATCTGTTTTCCATTGCTCTTTAATATTTTGCTCCCCAAGCAGACTTTCTTCATAACTTTTGTCTACCTTTTCTAACATAGAATATGAGGTCTGAGTGTCCAGAGGGCAATTTTATGACTCTGAGTATTAGGAGAGGGAGGAGATAGAAACATTGATATCTTCAATAGCATTCACTAAGCACCTACTATGCACAGAGCACTTGTTAAGTGTGAACTGCTGAAGATAAACTAGATTCTCCATGAGCCTTATCCCCAAGGAATTTATTGACTAGTGGAGGAGACAGAAAAAGCAAAGATGCCAGGGCTGAGAAAAGTGTGAACACCAATCCTTTTCCTAGGCTTTCTTTTCCTTTGCAGCCACTGTGACTTCCATATTGCATGTGAGTTTAGTCATTAGCCAGATATGAAGTCTCTAGCATCAATGGTAGTATACATCCATTTACATTACCATCCTCAAACACTTTTCTTACTGATGAGAACATCAGAAATCCTTTAGTACGATTTGATAATTACGTGAATTGAGTGCCTGTTATGTGCCAGGCATGGGGCCAATTCTCTTGTCACTGATTTGTGAAACCACAAAGGATGATTTATGGTACAGTGACTCTATTATTTTAGAAAATCGTACAAATGAAACAGCTCAATCAATATTAAATTGTGTTTTTTTCCTCCCCCTCTATCTATACTCAGATCTCAAGGTCAGATAATGTTTTGTCTCAAAGAGTCAGGGGAGAATTCCTTGAGAGTTTCCTTCATTGTCCTCAATAACTCTTTAAGATTCAGATTGTCCAGCCCTTTCAGAATGAGATGGGCTGCAGCTACTCATGACTTACTCTGATTGCATCTTTCTGAGGGGGGCCAGGGGCTTCAAGACATGGTAGAAAAAGCTTGATCTATGTCTCAGACATAAATGGGCTCAAATTTTTATTCTGTAATTCTGTGAGACCGCTGACCTTTGAGCAAATTAGAAAATGGCACTTCCTTTCTCCGTAATAACAGCCCCACGCCAGAGATCATCCCTGGGCAGGCAGAGCACAAACGTATGGCAGACCCAATTTGCCTCTCCTCACTACCAGATGCTGTTGTGCAGTATACAACAATACATGGCAATGCTGACCACTCTTTTTGGTCATTATTTAAGCTTATTTAGCTTCAGTTTCCTAATCTGTAAAATAGGGATAACGACATATCCCTCTGAGACTGTGAAGGGTAAGGAGATGATTTGCCGAAAGTGACTGATACATGGTTGGCACTCAACAAATATTCCCCAAACTCACTCCTTAACTGTACTGACATTTCAATAGGCTGGTTCACACAAAAGCCTGGCTTTCTAAGGCTGTTTACCTTGCCTCTGAGCCCTAGTATGCATGATTTTCAAATCTCAGCTTTTTACCTATGGAATGAGAATTCTCTTATCTTTACATGCTTTCAAAATATTTTGAGAATTTTGAATACTTGAATAGATGTAAAGCACAGTCATACAGAAACCTATACTTTTATATACACACATCTATATAATTATATGTTCCCTTTAAATCAATCATACTGATATTAGCTAATATTAATTGTCTCATTAGGAATCCTGTTAGCCAGAGCTAGAGTCAAGGATCCTTGAGAAATCTAATTGACTCAAGTTAATTGTAATTTTTCCTAGGGGTTTTATTACGATAATTCCTAAGTTGATTATAATATTCTACATTTTTGCACAACACTGAGATTCTTCAAATGAATTATACTTATATGATGACAAAATGTTTGATGATAAAGACAAAGCCTATTATGTTTCATTTGGATCATTCTCTCTATCTTCTATGTTTACCCCAGCTCTTTTCTCACTTTCTATTTTTCTTTGTTTTCTCTGTGTATGTTTTTTTAAATTATCACTTTGTTAGCTGGATCTGTGTTATAAGTGTCTTGTTCTCCTAGTCCATCTCAGTGAAAGGTAGCATAGCCAGGCAGAAAGGATGTGTGTTCTAGAATCACAAGGTCCTAAATAGAAGCTCTAGCTTTTTCACTTACTGTATGATCTTTGAAAAACACAATTTGTATTAACTTCTGTTTTCTCTGCTCTAACGGTGCAGTACTCTACATATACAAGGTAATGTTCAATATGAGAGGTAGAAATTTAGCCATTTAACATCCAGTAAAATTTGGGGGGATATATCTATTCATATAGCATACAGTATGGATTCAAAAAGACTTTTTTGTAAGTAATTGTAGTTTTTAAATTTAGTTTTGACAAAAGCTGTTTTGTTTCTTTTATTTACTCATTTAAATGAAAAATGTGAACTTGAAAGAATGTTCTTCCAGAAAGATCATTCAAGCGCCATCTCTTCCTCCATCTATTAGCCGAATGACATTAGACAAATCATTTAATTTCCTGAATCTGTTTCCTAACTTGTGAAATCAAAGAGTCAGAAAAGATCACCTCTAAGGTGTTCCAGCTCTGAAAACTTTAATTGTAATTTTCCTTTACTGGGTTAAAATATTAATCACTCTTTAATAATGACATGTTCCAATCATGATCTACAACAGCTTATCCACAAATTCCACTTGATAACACATACTTAGAAAAAAATTACATCCTTAAAAATCTTTTGTGGATTTTTTAATATTAATACTTATCTTGTATTTTAGCCATCATGTACATGTTTGAAACATGCATGCTTTATAATACATGTATCATCTAAAGGGCTACCAACTAAATAACTTCCCAGTGGATGTATGGATATCTAATATTCCACAGCCAGAGCCCAAAGAAAATCCTCAGTTACTGATATTCCACAAAAACTGTGAGGCCTGTGCCTATTGTGTTTTATTTTCTTCCAGTTTTATGCCAGTCTCTAAATCCTATGCTCTCATTTTGTACTTAGTTTCTTTGATTTAGAGCCAGATATAAAGTAGGAGATATAGAATTTGTAACTACATTCTTGACTCAATTATCAAAATTCACTGCACAAAATGGACTTATATTCCTCTACGCATATCTTTCCAAAGCTTCTCCAAAGCCTTAGCATTTGAAATAATTTTATATTTCAGATTCCATTTGGATAATTGTTGGATGGTAATGACAGGTCATATGTTTAATGCACTTTCCAGATTGAAAGTCATTTAAATATCTATATCTTAGGGCCAACAATTTCCAAAGGTAATCACCTTAGTTTGCTACATTTCACTTGCATGTGTTACAGGCAGAAGGTGACACTGTTTTGAAAATTGGCAATGAAGAACATAAATACCATTTTACATGTATCATTCTTAGTTCCCTAAAGGAAAATGTGTGTGGTTGTATAGATATGAATTACATGCATGCTGTATATGGTCTACAGATTTTTTTTGTGATTTAATATTGAATAAAACATATTAGCATCTACGTAAGTGCTGAGGCCTAATGAAAATTGAGCAATTAATTGGGAAATTAGATTAATCATCAACATGTTAAAACTGACTTTTCCAAAGGTGACAGGATGTAGTACAAAGGTTATGTGCTGGACAAACAGGCAGATATCAGTTTGAATCCCAGTTTCTAATCATTTAAATTTTAGAAAGTTATTTAACTGATTTAACAATTTTTCACATTGAAAATATGGATAATAATGTCTATTCCCTAAGACTATTTCAAAATGTGATAAAATGTAAATGCAGGTGGTCCGAGGACTTCATAATGAGGACCACTTTATTAAAAATTTTAGCTCCCCAAAGACAAAATTCAAAGTTATATCCTAGGAATTAAGGGTCATTCTAGTTAATTTATCTAATAACTGTTTCCTGATATAACTGTCTAGTATCCTAACAGGGGTGTGAGGCATTGTGAGTTGCTAGGCAACGTAGGAAAGCAAATAAAGCTTCAGTTTGCCTGGGTAGGAATGTAAGTCAGCTACAGAGGCAGATCCCAAAGAAGGAATCTGTAGAGAGTTTTTAGTCTTACTCAGCCTTTACAATCATATTACCATTGAAGGAAAATTGGTACTATTATGTTCCCCACCTCCATGTTTTACAAACTAAGCCTTAGAAAGTTTCCTGAAGACAGATATTCTATGGTGGTAGGTAGTGAGATTTTCTAATTTCAGGATGGTATTGTTTAGTGACAAAAGGATGATAAGTAGTAAATATTTCTTAACTGTGGAAATGCCTATAACACACTTAGTGGTTATCTAATCTGTGGGTTCATCAAAGGGCCATGCTTTATTTATTTTTACACTTTACTCTTACCCCAGAATCTGGAATGTGTATGGCACTTAATAAACATTTCTTGACTGAAGAACTATGTTTTTATAATGTAAAATATGGATAATAGTCCTAGCTGGCTTTACATAAATATTGGGCAGTAGATAGTGAAGTTTCCTTTTTTCAGTAGAACTGAAACAATCAAAGAAATGTTATTTTAGTAAATGTTGATCTCTTTTCATTCTTTCTCCCTGGACATTCTCTGAAATCTCTGTCAATGGAATTTGTTTACTCCAAATCACATCTTTGTTGCCTTTGAGTATTACCATGTTTGAATGTTTACCACTCAAATCCAGCATAAAAGTGTCTTCTTTTTTAGGTAAGATCAGGCAAAGAGGTACTGAATGAATAACACTTGATTGGGAATGGTAAATAACCATGCAATTAAACTGTAAACACTGTGTGTGGTGATTTTAATGTAATTTGAGGACTTGTAAATTATATGGTCATAAAATGGCACTTGGGCTTATGCTTTACAAAAATATCCATGTTTGTATGAGATTAATTAGCGCAGTTTGCATAAAGACATTGAGTAAAGCACTTTCTGAACATTCTCATTTGTAAGGTTTTCTTATTTATAAGGCTTTCTTTTTATTTCTTTCTGTGGTCTTGAAGAAATTATTATCATTGTCCACAGATTTCTGTAGCTGCAAATTAATCTGGACACCAGTAAAGAGTTGATGGGTTTCAGTTCTGCTTAAAAAATAGATTTTTAGTTCTTAAAATGGGTTGGTCATTTTACAGGCTGATTATATCGTTACTTCTTTGGTTCAATTCATGGATCATCAGATGCCCAAATAGGGCTTTTTCACTGTTGGGAGAGTTTATATGCATTATGTTATGAATCACACATACTGCAGCCCAAGGGAAATAACTGTAGCAGAGTGGCTATTAAGTGCTGTTACCACTGCTTTCCACTCATTGCAAGTTTTGCCTAGCAAGGGTCTCCTTTTGGTGTGTGTGATGGTAACAGTAGGAGACCCAAGGTAATCTTACCATCTGAGGCAGCTCTTGTGTTTTTCCATCTCCAGGAAACTTTCACTTTGCAAACTCAGACTCAAGTTACCATGGCACTACTGGGAATTCTCATAGATTATGTTATGATGAAATAATGACGGTGGTGAGGATGATGGTGTAAAATTTGTGATGACTATTTTCCAGGTGCTCTGCTGAGTGTTTTATATTCTTTACCTCATATAATCCTTACAACACCACCGCTGATTTTTAAAAATTATCACTTTATACATGAGAAAACTGAAATGTAGAGAGTCTAAATGATTTGTGCAAGGTCCCACAGCTTGTTTGTCTAGCTCCAAAATCTTTGCTCTTAACGCTTTTTTTTTTTTTTTTTTTTTTTTTTTGGAGATGAACTCTCACCCTGTCACCCAGGCTGGAGTGCAATGCTGTGATCTCGGCTCACTGCAACCTCCACCTCCCGGATTCAAGCAATTCTCCTTCCTCAGCCTCCCTAGTAGCTGGAATTGTAGGCACATGCCACCATGCCTGGCTAATTTTTTGTATCTTTAGTAGACACATGGTTTCACCATGTTGGCCGAGCTGGTCCCAAACCCCTGACCTCATGATCTGCCTGCCTCGGCCTCCCAATGTGCTGAGATTATAGGCATGAGCCACTGTGCCTGGCCAATTTTTTTGATATATTGCTTCAGCATAGATGAGGGCTACGCATTCCTTGAAACTTTATGTACAGCTAAGTTTCAGGTCTTTTTGCATGTGATGCCTTATGTGTTAGGCAGATTCATTTTTTAGTCAGCAATTGAGATAGCTAAGAGACCAGAAGGCTTGACTACTGCATGTCTCACATGGAAGAGCTAACATTCCTGATTTGTAGGACAGTTGTGAAATTGGTCTCTCCGTAACTTATGTAGATCTTGGCTATATCAGAAATATTCCAAGCTGTTGTAAGAAGTCTAGTTACTCACCTTTGGGAGAGTTGTGGGGAAATAGTATGTGCCATTATGAGACAGTCTGGTATGCCACCACAAACCACCGCCAGAGGTCCAGGACATAGGGAAAGACATTTGATGGGAGAGGAGAGGTATGCAGTGGAGTGGTGGCTGGAACACCTGCTCTTACTTTCTGGAAACATGATCCTAAATGAGCATGTGGTCATGAAACACAAAGACAGGTGAGGAAAAAAGTATTGGCCATGATCCTTGCTTTGGCATGTTGGAAATCTGGTCATTTCATCCAAATATTCTATTTGCCATCATGATGACTACCTTGTAAGCTTGATCTAAAGCAGACATTAGCTTCAAATGCCCGATTATTAATGCATGGCAAAAAAATATGACATACAGTGCCAGATTTCCATGGACAAAAATAATCACTCAACTCATTACAGCAAACAATTAAGACTAGCCAGATATATATTAAAGGGAAACCAGAGAGCTTAAGTGTGCTATAGATTTGCCATTTCATTCAAGTAGTCAGCATGTGGAACATCTACTAGGTGTCAGATATGGTGTCAATGGCTGAGGATACAAAGAGGAATATAATATAGACTCAAATTTTGTCAATAGAGAGATGCATATTAACTTTGGTTCAGAAGTAACTATTACTCATAATATTGTATGATTGTAAATTTCAATGAATTGAGAACAGTCTGAACATAATTTTTTAGCGCAGGTGGGAGTAATTATAAATGGTTATTTTGATTTGGACAGCAACATTACCCACTCCTTCTCTGATCAAACTTCTGTACAAGATTCAACATGTTTTCACCTCCCATATATTATCAGATATTAACTCCAGCTGCTTTCTTTTCTGTGCCACATTTAAAAACACCCTTTCTTTTTAAGGCTTTATCACCCCATCCTTTATCTAGACCTCATTGACCTCGTTCTATCAAACGGCAGCTGAAAAATTATTATGTGCAAAATTTCAATGTTTTCTCCAGCTTCATAATTGTGAATATTCCAAAGAAGAGTTCTGCTCTTTCCTCTGGCTTTTCATCAGTGAATGTGTTACTCTTTTCCTTTCTTTAAATTCCAAAGAAAAGTATCATTTTTCAATATGGTACAAACATTTAGCTTTTGCTCACTGAAGCAAAATTTTCAAGTATTTGATTCTTCCTCAGATTATTGTACTCCCAGGTAAATTAAATGTCAGCATGAGGGATAGCTTCACCCACTTCTGTAGCTGGCTTTATTCAATCCAAATAAGTCATAAGGGAACAGCCAGCAAAGCACAGCTTTCTATCACATTCCAAAGGCTTTCCCCCTGTGAGTATGCCAAGTCCAACCAGAAATTCTGAAGAAAGCTAAGAATTCTAAATACTCAGTGGATTTCAGACATGGGATCGAATAAAATCCAACCTCTAGGTGTTTCATAAAGGGAACCTCCTATTCTGGATGGCACCAAACGGAGTAAGACGTTGTTAAAGAAAAATAAAACTTCATTTATCATATAATGAAGCTAAGTGACACATTCTTTGACTCTTAAAAATTAAAGAGAAAAGCAAAAGAACCAAAACCCTGGAAACATAATGGGATTTTTTTTTAATGGAGGAATAGGAACGAGGAATTCTTTTCTCTTAAATTGTCACAGGGAGCTTCCTTTTAGGAACTGTCATCCCTTTCTTACCATTCTTTCCACCCCTTACCATAAGATCAACTGCCAGCTAGAGTACCCCCAGCTGGGTCCCCCTGAGAATCCAGGTAATACACCTACCCATTCCAGCCCCGCTGTGCCGGGGCTCAGTTTGGACTTGTTAGTACCAGAGCCAACATCAGGATCCCTTTGTGTGGGTAGAAGCTCAGATCACCTCCAGGTGTGTGCAAGATTAGCCCATCAATAGAATATAAATAGAGCTGCTCATCAATCCTCCCCATGGTTTTCCTTCAGTCTCATGCTCCTGGGGGATGGATTAGAGAGAAATTATATCATCTGCAGTTTTCGAGGTTCATTTTTAAGAAAGTCAGGTTTTCAGTGGAACGTGGTCTGCCTGGAGCAAGGCTCCTGGATTTGTCGCAGCCACAGGCGGCTGCACAGAGGAGCACATGCTGGAAAGAAAGGGCACCTCAACCAGACAACAAGCCTGAGCCCTGGGGAGGCTGCAAGTCCTTCCCGGGTCATTCTCTAACCTGGTCTCCTTCATGGCTCATTACTTAGGGCCAGAGAGTTTGAAACTAAGTGAATTAGAAGCAGGTAATGGGCCCTCACTTAGAAATACTCTAAAAAAAAAAAAACTGATGAAGTAATACATTCTTTTACATATAGTTACTGCCTGAAAAAATGTGACGATAAAGATAAATAGAACAATATCAAAAGTCTCCTCACTGAAAGCCAAAGTATAATATACTCAAATCTGGGTATTTTTTGACATAAATGACTTACTTTTTTTATCCACCAATTTGTAGACTTATAACCCACATATCTTCACACAAATTTCAGAATATCAGAAACTCTAGGACTCACTATAAAATCCTAGAATGTTAGATCCTGAAGGGTCTTTTGGGTTTACCTATCCACAGATGAAGAAGCTGATGTCTGGAACCAAAATGACCCATATTCGGAGATTCTCTTCCTACTAGCATAGGCTCTTGGAACTTTGGTATGAAGAGAAATTCCAAGGTTTGGGAGGAAAGCAGTATGTTTTGAAACTGACTTTGTTCAAAACACTTAGTGTAATTCAATGATCCATGAAGGAGAGCCGTATCTGGGAACAGAACCAAGTTCTCCCATCAAACAAACTGGAGATGCAATCTGGTCTGTTGACACTAAAGGAATATACCACTTTTTCCACTGTGAGCAAAATTAGACTATTTTTGAAGCAAAATTAGACTCTCAGGCAGCATGATCTAGTCAGAATAGACTCAGATTCTTACCAGCTGCTGCTTGTGTTATTGCCATCCCTGGGCCAATAAGAGCATACTGCTGAATTTGAAATGCTCCATGTCCGTCTCTGGACTGCTATTTTGGCCACTCTGAGGATAGATAGCTGATTTTGAAAATGCTTTACATCAAAATGAATCTCACATTAGTATGCACTTCAAGTTCATAACTATGTTACCCTAAGTAGCTTTTTAATATTTTATTATAATTAGTGTATGTAGATTTGTGCTCCTCTAAAAACTAAACTTTTCTTTTTATTAACCCCAGCTGTTCTGATTCTGTAACAAAACGAATGCATCAGGGAAAGTAATAAACCAATCAACCAACCAGTATTTATTGAGTACCTATTGATGGTCACACCGGAGCTGACCAAGATCAGGAGCTTCTGTATCTCCAAGTAGTTTTTTTAAAAACTACCACTGCATCAGTGAATCACAAGGGGTGGAACAAATGAGCTCTGTGAGACCAGGTACTGGGTCTCCACAGGAGCTTGGGATATTTCAGCCCCTCAATGAATATTTGATGAATGAATGAAATAGCTGAGATTTGGCTCCTAATTTTCCTCTGTATGTGCTGTTTTAGTAATGGGCCAGTTAGAATATTATGAGACTCAAAGGCCATCTGTATCCCTGTAGCTCAAAATTTAGACTAGAAGCAAGCCTGAACTTCGAGTTGTGTAACACCTCCCCCTAGTCTCCACTGTGGTCCTCTTTGATTCTTCCATCTTACCATTTCATGCCTGAAGGAAGGTAAAATGGATTTTTGTGATTTCTGCCAGATTATAACTCTCCCCTTGAGGTCCCATATGGGCCCCTGAAGCCTCGTTTTGACCCATCTGAGATATTGTCCACCTTCAACTGAAATGGTGTGAAAGTGGGTTTAGTACAAAGATGTTGAGCCATCAATAGTTACTATCCTAGACTCTATAAATGGGTTCCAAGGACCATGGGAACATCCTAAGTTTCAAGTTCATTGTTTTTCCTGAAATGAGAATCCATGGCTTTCACTAGATTTTCATGTACAATATTCAAAACCACTATCCTACAAATTAGTGTATGCAACCGACATGAACTATGTGCCTTGAAGACAGCTAGTCCCTTCAGGAGAAAAGTCAAGATGCTACGTCCTGACCTGCTGTGCTTACTATATGGATGGAAAGTTAAGACTAAGTTTTAAAACCTAGTTCATGTGTATCATTTTCCCCCCATCCAAAAGAGTCACCAAGCTTCTCTTTACATTGTGATCTTTTATTTCTGGAATATGACCCAAGTTATAAAGATATATTTCAATATACTTCATTAGGAGGCCATCTGATAAAGTCAAAGATGGTGCCTATCTTGATCTTTGCCTGATAGATAAGAGGCACTCAATAATTACTTATTGACTGACAAAAAGCACAGGAGGTACATCTGTATTTTTATGGTTGCTTCTAACTTGCACCTAAAGATGCCTTTACAAAGTTCTAGGACTACTTATATTTTCTGCAAAGATTTAATATTGAAATATGGAAATAATCCACTGAATTTCACAATTATAGATGGGGAATTTTTCACATTATACAAGGTTGTCTAAAAGCAATGGTGCTGTCTTTCAATAACTTATGAAATAAATATACATAAAAACAAAGGACAAAAATAAAAGATGGGGAATGATCAAGAAATATTACTGCAGAGGGGGCTTTGGAAGACATTAGAATATACCCCTTCTAAACAATATAGCTCTATTGTTTATAAATATGTGCAGTCCATCAGAGCCAGGTTTTTACCATTCCCCTAAACTTGTCTAATTTTGAATGCCACAATATAGGAAGACACAGAAGACTTTGAGAAACAACATAAAGCAAGCCATAAAGATAATTATTCAAAGCCTAAACAAAAAAAATATTGGGCCATGAAAAAGAAAAATGAATAGGGCATTAATAACAAATCTTCAAATATATCAAGATTCTCACTTAGAGATTGGTACAAGTCTACTCTCCACTTCCAATAATCAGCAAAGTATAGACAGACTAAAAAGTAGCATGAGGCAGTTAAATGAGACATACATAAAGGTTACCAGACAGCATGAGATCCTGAAATATCTGATCCTAAATGAGATTGGGCAAGTTCCTTTCCTAAAGCACTTTAGAAAACAAGACAGATTCTTTGCAGGACTGAATGGATGATCTCTCATCTCCTCCTTCACCCTAATGGGTTTTTAATCTAATAGAAACAAACAAACAAGGAATTAAATACTCTTCCAGTCGACGGAGAATTTCCCATTTTGGCCTCACTACTATGTTCCTTCAGAACACATGGCAATAGTTGAAAGGATTTAGTACAAAAATCTGCTGGTCATACAGAGAGAGACCCAGTATGCATCAGCAGTGAAAATCTGATTTCTTATTTCTAAAACGTGGCCGAAAAGCTCATCTGGTTTTCTGTGTGTGTGATCGTTGCCTTCCCAAGACTGAAAGCTCACTGTAGCAAAAAGCAATTAATTGAATGATGAGTCCGTGCTAACATGCCTGTGTGTGCGGATAATAGAGATAACTTAATATACATCTAATGCCACTATTAATTTATCATCTCCACCATTTAATTTTTGAAATACAATCATTCCTGAATAAAGAACCAAACACTTGAGAAAATATTTTCTAACAATTTTATGAAAGAACAAGTTAATTGCACCTGAAATTATTTAATTAGTTAACATAACTTTATTCCACATGCTATAAGCCTTTTAATACATTTTGATCACTTAAGGACTGCATTTACAACGATCTCTTTCAGTAAAGTGTAAGGTCCTTTACCAGTACCATCATGATGATCATGTATTTTCTTATTTTAAGCCAAGTGGGAATTTCACAGAATTTAGTATTTAGAGCCTTTGTTACGGAAAATGTTTAAACCAGCTTCATCTTTCAAGTAAAACTACCTCATCATTAAATCCTCAGTAAAGAAAGAGGCACATACAGTATTTGGTAAAATTGCAATGTACGCCTTTCACTAAGGGATTACGCCTTTCACTAAGGGATTGGAGAGTTTGGTGATCACATGGCCTCAGTAGGTCCTTTTCTTAGGCCTCAGATAAATTCTTATCATCCCGGTCTATGACTTATAGATTGTTAGAGAGAGGTTGTGTAGAAGGTATCAAAAGTGCCTTTTCCTTTGGATGGGAAGACCAAGGCTTGGGAATTTTGTCTTCCTCCAGGCTCGCAGCCTCCCTTGACATTCCTCCCTTAAACATTCAAATTGTATCATTTTCCCAACTTGAAAACCAACAAAGTAAGTGTGTGGCCTCTCTAACCCAAAAATTAATTTTTAAATAGGTTTTATTTACTTATTCATTTTTAAAACCATGACCCTATATTTTAAAAATTCAGTGTTACAGTTATTTATTCCTATTGTTGGATTTTCTGGATAAGTGTATACATTTTTTATAATTCTTTTGTTGATACATAATATTTGTACATATTCATGGGATACATGGATATAGTGATACATGCATAGAATATGTAATGATCAAGTCAGGTATTTAGGATATCTGTCATCTGAAGCTTTCATCATTTGTGTCAGGAACATTCCAAGCCCTCTTTAAATATACAATACATTGTTTTTAACTATAGTTACCCTACTGTGCTTTTGAACATTAGAACTTAACCCATATATCTAACTGTATATGTGTAGCTATTAGCCAACTTTTCATCCCCTCCTCCTTGCCATCCTCCACACCCTTCCCAGCCTCTGGTAACTAATCATTTTACTCTCCATCTCCATGAAATCAACTTTTTAAGCTCCCATATATGAGTGAGAACATGCAATTTTGTCATATGATAGTTCTAGTTTTAATTGGACTACCATTCTATGATAGTTCTATTTTTAATTTTTTGGGAACCTCCATACTGTCTTTATAATGGCTATGCTAATTTACATTCCAATCAACAATGCTTAAGAATTCCCTTTTCTCTGCATCTTCACCAGCATCTGTTATTTTCTGTGTTTGATAATAGCCCTAATAACTGGGGTGAGATGATAGCTCATTGTGGTTTTGATTTGCATCTCCCTGATGATTAATGATGTTGAGCCTTTTTTTCATATGTTTGTTGGCCATTTCTATTTCTTCTTTGAGAAATATCTTTTCAGATCCTTTGCCCACTTTAGTGAGATTATTATTATTGCTGTTGAATTGTTTGAGTTCCTTGTATATTCCATCCCTGTCTGATGAATAGTTTGCAAATATTTCCTCCCATTCTGCAGGTTGTTTCTTTACTGTTGATTGTTTCCTTTAATCTGAAGGAAACAACTTTGAATTTAATGGAACTGTGTTTAACTCACTATTGATTATCTAATGTGTCTGGCTCTGTTCTATTTGCTGCAGTGGATGCAGAAAAAAATAAAGTAGTATCATGGAGAATTATACTCAGTCCTACAATTTAAAAAATAACCTTTTTAAAAGGAGTTTTAGATTTATGGAAAAATTGAGTGGAAAGTACAGAGTTCCTCTAAACCAACTCCCAAGTTTTTTTCTATTATCAGCATCTATTTTTGTGGTACAGTTGTTAAAACTGATGAGCTGATATTGATAATTACTAAATACAGTCTATCTAGGGTTGATTCTTGGTGTTGTATATTATACATTGTATAGGCAAATGTATAATGGCACTATCCACCATTATGGTATTATATATAATAGTTTCACTTCCCTAAAAATAAATCTCCTGTTTTCCATCTATTCATTCTCCCTCAACCCTGGCAACCACCTTACCTTTTTACTCTCTCTACAGATTTGCTGGCTGTACATTTTTATCACTTGGTTTTCCCAACTCATTTATACCCCCTACCCCAATTCCCTCCCTCCACTGGCTCCCTTCCTATTCCATTAATATTCCCTAGCCAAATATTATAATCACTTCCTTACATATACCCTTGACCCCCTTACCTCCCTTGCCGTCACTCTTTTCATCACACTCAATAAAATTACAGTTCTCTGCCTAGTTATGCTGACAGCCCTGTGGCTGTCCACACTGACTGATAAATTCATGACCACGAATTTCAAGAGAGCCTCTATACTTCCAGTTAAGCACACTATATGCCTGGTCCACTCACTTTGTCACTTTCCCACTGGATTATTTTAGACACTTTCAGTTTCCTCAGTCTCCCACTACATCATCTTCTGTTCTGCCTTTATCCGATGATGTTGCTTCCTTCTTAATTAGAAATCCTTGAAGCAATCCGAAGAACTTCTCTCACTAAGCAGCATTTGTATTTGAAGACTGTATGTTCCTGCCAGTTAAAGTAGATGAACTAGCTTTATCCAAACTCAATCCCTCCACAACATATTAGATCCCATCCTTCTTTCCTTCTCAAGGACAGTCTTCCAGCTAGTCTCCCCCCTCTCTCTTCCACATTATCAAATATTTTTCTCTCTCATAGGTTATTTTCATTGATATACAAATCTATCCTCATCATAAAACAATAAACAACATTCAGGACATAGGCATGGGCAAGGACTTCATGTCTAAAACACCAAAAGCAATGGCAACAAAAGCCAAATTTGACAAATGGGATCTCATTAAACTAAAGAGCTTCTGCACAGCAAAAGAAACTACCATCAGAGTGAACAGGCAACCTACAAAATGGGAGAAAATTTTCGCAACCTACTCATCTGACAAAGGGCTAATATCCAGAATCTACAATGAACTCAAACAAATTTACAAGAAAAAAACAACCCCATCAAAAAGTGGGCAAAGGACATGAACAGACACTTCTCAGAAGAAGACATTTATGCAGCCAAAAAACACATGAAAAAATGCTCACCATCACTGGCCATCAGAGAAATGCAAATCAAAATCACAATGAGATACCATCTCACACCAGTTAGAATGGCGATCATTAAAAAGTCAGGAAACAACAGGTGCTGGAGAGGATGTGGAGAAATAGGAACACTTTACACTGTTGGTGGGACTGTAAACTAGTTCAACCATTGTGGAAGTCAGTGTGGCGATTCCTCAGGGATCTAGAACTAGAAATACCATTTGACCCAGCCATCCCATTACTGGGTATATACCCAAAGGACTATAAATCATGCTGCTATAAAGACACATGCACACATATGTTTATTGCGGCTCTATTCACAATAGCAAAGACTTGGAACCAACCCAAATGTCCAACAATGATAGACTGGATTAAGAAAATGTGGCACATATACACCATGGAATACTATGCAGCCATAAAAAATGATGAGTTCATGACCTTTGTAGGGACATGGATGAAATTGGAAATCATCATTCTCAGTAAACTATCACAAGAACAAAAAACCAAACACCGCATATTCTCACTCATAGGCGGGAATTGAATAATGAGAACACATGGACACAGGAAGGGGAACATAAAACTCTGGGGACTGTTATGGGGTGGGGAGAGGGGGGAGGGATAGCATTAGGAGATATACCTAATGCTAAATGACAAGTTAATGGGTGCAGCACACCAGCATGGCACATGTATACATATGTAACTAACCTGCACATTGTGCACATGTACCCTAAAACTTAAAGTATAATAATAATAAAATAAAATAAAATAAATAAATACATACATATATACTTAAAAAAAATTAAAAATAAAAATTTAAAAAAATCAACAACTTTTCTTCACCATGGCTGTGATAACGGATTTTATGTGTTAAACTGGTTTGGCCATGATACCTAGCTTTTGGTGAAACACCAGTCTAGATGTTATTATGAAGGTATTTTATATATAGTTAACACTCAAATTGGTAGAATTTGGGTAAAGCAGATTACCCTACATAATGTGGGTGGGCCTCATATAATCAGTTGAGAGCCTTAAGAGCAAAGATTGAGGTCCCCTGAGGAAGATGAATTCTGCCCCTAGACTGTCTTCAGGCTCCAGCTGCAATATCCACTGTCCCCTGGGTTTCCAGCCTGCCAGTATGCCTGCAGATTTCAAAACTTCTAGAAATCCTTATCTATTCTTGTTGGCTCCAAGTTTTTCTTCCCATTCTGTCTTCTATCTACTCCAATTAAGCTCTCCTCCCCACCATTTCATTAAACTCTTCTCATCAAGGTTTCCCATAACTTTATTACTAAGGTAGCTGACCAATCCTTGTCTTCCTTGATGTATTTTACGCAGTTCATCTATCTGTTACTTTTTCTTCTCTTCACTTCTAGGACCACACACTCTCCTGAATCTAATTTTACCTTATGGCCACCCCATTTTAGTGTCCTTTATCTCTCTTTAACCTCTTAATGTTGGCCTTCCTTCAGGCTCACTTCTTGTTCCTCTTGTCCCCTCATTCTCATGGTCATGTCACTCAGTTCCATGGCATTAAGTTGGATCTCTATGACGGCCCTTCCCAAATGTCTATGCACAGTTCAAATGTCTACAGACTCCAGAACCGTATCCTCAACTGCCTATTCAACATCTTCATTTGGCTAGAACAGTCATCTCCAGTGAAACAAGTTCCAAAGAACACCCAGTCTTATGCTCCACATTCAAAACCAGCTCTACTTTCAAGCCCTTTCCATCTCAACTGATAGCAGCTTCATTCTTCTAGTCGCTCAAGAAAAATCCTTAGAGCCACTCTTGCCTGACCTTTCTCTCACACTCCCGTATTCAGTCTAGCAGAAAATCCTGCTGGCACTATCTTCAAAATGTATTTACTTCGTACCACCTCCCCTGCTATCCTCCTGATTCTTGCTACCATTATATCTTACCTGTATGATTGCAAAGGCCTCCTAACAGGTCTCCCTTGCTCACCGCTGCCTAGTCTTATAACAGTCACAGGGAACCTTTCAACAGTTGTGTCAGATTTCTTCACTCAAAACTGTGTGCTGGTTCCTCACTTCAGAATAAACACCTCCTTGCTTGCTTGAAATGACCCATGGGGCACTCCGCAATCTGGTCCACCACACCTCTCTACCCTCCTCTCCTAATGCTCCTCTCACTCCCTTGATTCAAGTCATGGTAGCCTCCTGATATGGTTTGGCTGTGTCCCCGCCCAAATCTCATATTGAATTGTATCTCCCAGAATTCCCATATGTTGTGGGAGGGACCCAGGGGGAGGTAATTGAATCATGGGGGCCGGTCTTTCCTGTGCTATTCTCATGATAGTGAATAAGTCTCATGAGATCTGATGGGTTTATCAGGGGTTACCACTTTTGCTTCCTCCTCATTCTCTCTTGCCACTGACCTGTAAGAAGTGCCTTTCACCCTCTGCTGTGATTCTGAGACCTTCCCCAGCCACGTACAGCTATAAGTCCAATTAAACCTCTTTCGTTTGTAAATTGCCCAATCTCGAGTATGTCTTTATCAGCAGCGTGAAAATGGACTAATACACCTCCTTACTGGTCATCTCACATATCAGGTATGCTTCTGCCTTAGGGCCTGTATTCATTTTCTATGGCTGCCATAACAAATTATTACAAAATTTTGCCTTGAAACAATAGAAATGTGTTACCTTGCAATTCTGTGGGTCAGAAGTCGAACATGAGTCTCACTGGGCTAAAATCAAGGTATTTCCTTTTGAAGGCTCTAGGAGAGAATCCATGTCCTTGCCATTTCCAGTTTCCAGAGACATCCACATTCTCTGGCTCACATCTTATTCCTCTGTCTTCAAAGCCAGTAGTATTACATCTCCATGCCTTCCTTCTGTGGTCACACTTTCCTCCAACCTCCTTTTCTGCCTTTCTCTTCTACTTTTAAGGACGCTTGTGATTACACTGGGCTCACCTGGATAATCCAGGCTTATTTCTCTATCTTAAAGTCAGCTGTTTAGCAACCCTAATTTATCTGCAACATCAATTTCCCTTTGCTGTGTAACTTAACATATTCACAAGTTCTGCAGATTAAGATGTCTAATCTGGCAGTGGGAGATGTGGCAGTGTGTATTATTCTTACTACTATACAGCCTTTGCTCTAATTGTGCCCTCTGACTGGAATGTTTCTACTCTTGGTTATTTCTCTCATCCTCTTTAGGTCTTTGATGAAAGGCTTACTTTCTCAATGAGGCCTATTTTGACTATCTATTTAATCCTGCAACATGACCCCAGCCCCACCATGAGCACATCTGATTCCATTTTCACTTTGTCTTGGCTGAATTTCCTTAGAAGCAGAATCTGAGACCGAGGCTCCTGTGCAAGTGATTTAATGAGGAAGTGTTTTCAGGTGAAACTTGAAGGAGAGAGAGAATCAGGATATGGTGGGGAAAGAAGCTAGACAAAGATGTGGGTTCACTTGGAGAATGCTGGCCTGAGTCCGTAGGAGGTCTAGCCTAGCATGCAAACGGTACCTCAGAGTTGTCCCACATTGAGCACAATGACAACTCCATATCAGTCAATTATTACCTGCAGGCCAGCCCCTCCCCACCATCCCACCCCAGTCCTGAGGTGAGAGGCTGCATAACTTCCTAGGCGTCTTTTCTCAAGGCAGCACCACTGGCTGCACACAGTACCCTGGAGAAGGGTAGAACCAATACTCAGAGCAGCTGGGGGATGGAGGCACCAACCCAGTAGAGGGAATGGAGCTGAACTTCTTGCCCACACCCATCCAAATATAGTACGTCCCTGAAAGGAGGGTGCAATCCTTTGGGGGACACCTGTCTGATGGGCTGAGGTGCAGACACACAAGAAGGGGAGATTGACTTCCCCACCTCTGGATGTCGCAGGGTGCCTCTGTAGGGTGGCTGGTGGGACACAAAACCTGGCAGCTGGTGAGTCTTGTGCTGTCACATGCCGAGTCATGGGTCAGGGCCCTGGGCATATGTGAGGACCTGCACTCAGCCAGCATGTAGCCCTGTTCCCAAGGAACATGACATTAAATACAAAAAGACAAGAAAAAGACAGGCCAGGAGAGATACCACAGAAGAAAGAGATATGTTGCACACTTTGGTACCTTTAAGGGCACTAAAATGCCCTTTATCTCCTGCTCTTTGAACAAGAGGTCCTGCATTTTTGTTTTGCATAGGACCAGGCAACTATATAGCTGGCCCTGGTTTCAACTTCCTGAATTACTTCACATTCCGGTCAGACTTGTTCATATTATCTCAAATCACATTGCTAGGCACATTAAGTTATCATGTAGACTCTTCTTTCACACTTGTCCCATCTCTTAGGTTGCCTCTGCAGTTGAGGAATATCAGCTTTTATTTATCCTTTATGCTCAGATGGTAACCTTGCTTCTGTGTTATTTGGCATACTTCTCCATCAGTCTTGTGCACCTGCCTTGTGTTATAGTCATCCCTGCATGTGCCTTTGAATGTCCTCAGCATCTAATCAGGACATGCACACAGAGTGGGTCTGCAGTAAATGTGGTTAAATGTTCAATGTATAAATGAATCAATCAAGAAAGCCTGAGGTGGTTTTTTGGCCTTATCTAGGCAGGCCCCTGCTTCAGAAATATATTTCTTAGGTTCACATCATGACGCCAGAAGTAGATGGACAATTTCTGATGAGTTCAGTCTGCGATCCCAGACTTGGTTGCTTTGTCATCAAGGAGGCAATGTGCCCTCGCATCTCTCACCAGCTTCCAATCAATGGGCCTCACACAGGAACAGACACCAAGCCCAGAGAAACTGGGCACTGTCTCTCCTTGATAAAGAGTTCTTGTTTATTCACCCAAGCACTTTAGTTTTGCATTCATAAGACAAAGCAGCAAGTAGGAGCTTGTTGGGAAAAGAATAAGAGCTGCCAGAAGTGAGAGAGGGGGGTTCATTCAGTTGTCACTTGCAGCCCATTCCTTGTCTGAAGCATCTTTTACCTCCTAATTGTCTCCCTCCCCTTTCTTGTGTCTGCCTCACACAGACTGAACACTCCCAGACAGCTTTACAAATTGGCTGTGGAATTGTTAAGCAGTAAAAATTCCATTGAGTCTGAAAAATATACACTTCTCCTGCCCATGTTTATTAATCAGTTGCTATTTTATGCCTCTCCTTGTCCACCTTATTACGCTCAATGCTGCCCTAGGCCATATTGAGAAGGAGGCAGTTAGTCTTTGTCCTTTGCTCTCTGCATCCTTGGTTATGTAGTCTTTTTGTTATTTTAAAAGACTTCTCCTAATTTCCTTTTCAGGGGTCTATGTTTTCCTGAGTCTCTGTCAGATTTATATCCTCATTCACACTAGGTTATGATTGACATCATATATCATGTTTCCTAGGAGCATTTGCATCTTAAAATACCTTTCCTAGAGAGGGCAACGCTCAACCTGAAGAAGTCAGATCTCCAGTTGTGTAATTTTAGATGCTGCAGAAGGGGGATGGATGTCATTTCAGGGCAAGGGGATTCCTAGCAGCCCTCAAATCATACTCAGAAGGAAGCTATTCACTATAGATCGTGTAATTATTAGCCCTAATGATTCTCCTCCTCTTGTCACTGAACTAAGTGAGATTTATTCCTTTCTGCAGCAAACAAACATTTACCATCCACTGCTAACATAGTTGGCCCCAGGAGCTCAAATGGAAAGTGAACAGGAAAGATATTCATACTATTTAAGTTGTCTTACTGGCTTTCTACATCCAAGTTCTGGAAACGTTTGCTTCTTTTTGACAGCTTTCCAGAGGAACAGTCAAAGCCTTTAAGGACTTATGGATTGCATCTTTCACATTCTTTCCCAGCCAGTAGCAGGGAAACCTCACCGTGGCATTCCTATGATGAAAGTTGTTCAATGGCACCCATATCCTACAAAATAAAAGCTTAACACCTTAGCACAGAGCATGACTTTCCCACCTGCCCAGCCTCCTGTTCTCCTAAATAATTCCTCCTCCCATCCCTGCTTAAAGCCTCCTTCCTAAAGCCTGTACATATACTGGTGCTGCAGTAACACTCAAATTCTTAAAGCCCCGGGAACAGGTCTATTTTCTTGGGTGTCTATGCATTTTCCTAGGCTGTTTCCTCTCAAAATGCCCACTGCCTGGTAAAATCTTCTTAATGCTTTAAGTCTCAGGAATGCTTTCATTCCCTTAACCTACAGTCTCATACACCCACGTGTCTATTATAGCATTAAGTAGATCACTTTGTAGCTATCTGCTTGTCTGTCCAACTGTTTACAAGATGGTAATCTCGGGTTTTATGATTCTGTATTCTTAGTACCTAGCACAGAGCCTGGCACATAGCTGGTATTAAAAACTTAAATGACAGGCCAGGTGTGGTGGCTCACGCCTCTAATCCTAGCACTTTGGAAGGCCAAGGTGGGCAGATCACCTGAGGTCAGGAGTTCGAAACCAGCCTGACCAACATGGAGAAACCCTGTCTCTACCAAAAATAGAAAATTAGCTGCGTGTGGTGGCGCATGCCTGTAATCCCAGCTACTCGGGAGGTTGAGGCAGGAGAATCGCTTGGACCCGGGAGGCGGAGGTTGCGGTGAGCCAAGATCATGCCATTGCACTGCAGCCTGGGCAATGAGAGCAAAACTCCATCTCAAAACAAAAACAAAAACAAAAACAAAAACAAAAACAATTTAACTGATGAACCATCATCTGAACAAAATTAAAACTTTGAAAATACTACATGGCTACTTTTATTTCATAAGTGGAATGAGAACTTCCCTTTTAGAACATTATCATACAAATTAACAAACTACAGCCTGTGGCCAAACCTGGCCACCACTTATTTTTGTAAGTAAAATTTTATTGAAATACAACCATACACATTTATTTATGTATGGTTGGTGGCTGCTTTTGCACTATCACATGCAACAGAAACCCTACGGGCCACAAAGCTTAAACTCTTTACTAGTTGTATTATTTGATACTTCAAAAAGTTTCCCAACAGTTGCCTTTGGGGAGAGAGAGAAAAAGGGAGCTAACGAGTTGAGTTGTATCTACAATGAAGGAAAAAAAGGACTCAGGAGAAGAAATAAGCAATAAAGTGTGGTGATATCCTTCAATTTGCTCTAAAGGGAGGTCCAATTTTCAAGTGCCCTCACAGACTGGAAACATAGGACTCCTGAGCACAGACAGGAAAAGTGAGAATGAATTTGCCACAGGAGCCTGGAACACAAGGGTGTTGTTGTCAACTGTTTGCCAAGGCAGACAGAAGGGCAAAGACGATCCCAAGAAGTTAGTAAAAGCACTAATGCCTAATAATAATTGTAGCAGAGAGCTTTTTAGGTGCCCCATTAAAGAGAGTGCTTTGTCCTAATAAATACCAGGATGAGAGTCTGTTCTCAGAGCCCCCTTCCTGCACTTTATTCTTAATGAGCCTTGTAATGAGTGCACCGTCTTTATTTCCTTGAGAGACTCATCACTCCCTATCTTAGCCTGTTATTTAAATATATGGCATGGTGTGGAAAGCTTTAAAAAAGAAAAAGCCCAAGAAATCTTCTCTGTGCCTTTTTCAATTGCCTATGTCACCCCTGCAGGACAGAGGAGGGTGTGTAAACTGTATTCATAAGATAACAGGTTCCTCTACTTTTAATAAGGCAAAACTCATAAAAGCAGAGAAGTACTACTAAACTCCAGGTTTGTTTCTAGATATATTAGAAAAAAAACCAAAACACTTAAATAGCAATGGCTTCCCTGCACTGTTCTTTCACCCTTAAAAAAATACCAGCTCTTGGCTTCTCAAAACAAAAGGAATCAGACGTCAGTAGGTTTACCTTTGAGCTCAGGATTTCTTATTTTATTTTATTTTATTTTATTTCATTTCATATTTCATTGTCACTTTTCTCCTTCTACTATTTAGTAAATGAAAATTACCACAGAAAGAAGAGAATTACCCACAACTCTTCAGTTAAGAATCATTCTGGGTTATCAACCTGTCCAGATAGATGAGGATTTAATATTATTTTTCAATGGCAAAGTATTAAACTACGTTCTTGCCACAACCATAAAGTCATTATCTCACCTACCTTTAAAAAAGAGGGGGTGTGAAGTACGTGGTAATTTCTTAATATCACTTAATATCATCAAATATCCAGTCACTGTTTAAATTTCCTTAATTGTCTCATAATTGTTGGTTAGAATCAATGTGTGTCTGAGTCTCTTCCACTTATAGATTTTCCCTTAATCTTATTTTATCCATTGTAATTTATTTGTTAAGGAAACTGAGTTTTCATCCTGTAGAATTATTAGCATTGGGAATTTTGCTGATTGTATTCTTTTGACATCCTTTAATGTGCTATCCTGTATTTTCTGTAGTTAAAACTAGAAGCTTGTGATGTTAAAAAAAAAATGTCCTTTTGCTTCAGAGATGCATGCTGATGAAATGATATAATTTCTAGGCTTTCCAGCAAACTGAAACAGTCAGAGGTAGGGCTATAGAGAGAAGGGCTGTAGGTGAAACAATATTGTATATGTTGATAATTGTTGAAGCTGGGAGATGGGCACATGGGCTTTTCTTATATTTTGTACTTTGGTATATGTTTAAATTTTTCTATAATTAAAAAGCTAATATATACTTTAGTCATTTTAGATTAAAATTTCTGAAAGACATCATGCATGTTTTATCCTTGCTAAACATTTGATCTTTTCTTGATAACACTCAGTCCTCATTCTAAACACTACAGTATCAGAAAGTAAATAGCTCAATAAACTAAAAGAACCTTCTCCTTATGCATTTCAGTATATGGAAGAAGTCACACTAAATTATCAGGTTTCATTTAAAACCCAGGTCTCTACCTATTGAAAAGAATTCTTTATGTCTATATTTTTGACTAATTAAAAATAACAAGAAATAAAACCGCTAATCTAGAAAAGTTTCTCAAATAGGAATCACCACCCTTAAGAAGTGTATGAGGTTTTTATGAAAATCCATTAGAAGCAGATCCATTTCCACTAGCTCCACCTTCAGTCTTAAGATCATCTAGATCTGCTTATTATTATTATTATTATTATTATTATTATTATTACTATTTGGTAGTAACATGGTAAATGCAGAGCCAGCAAAAGATGGTGGGAAAAGGCTGAGACTTACCAAACCACAGACTTTGAGATACAATTGAGCTTTCATTTCTTCTCAGTCTGTGCCTGAGGGGAATAAAGGTCAGAATGACCCTCATAGAAAATTCCAGCTCCCATTCTGCCTCAGAAAAGGGGAAGGTACCATTGTTGGAGCTGGAAATGGGGGGTTACGTTGATTTGGGGTGACAAAAGTACACAGTATACTACCTTTCCTTTTAGGAACTTGTTAAAATGGTTCTAATAGAATTGTATCCCTTTGTAAATAAGCCTGAGAATTAGCAATTGTTTTTGTTCTCCACCATTTCAGCCCCAAGGCAGCCATGGAATTGCCCATTGATTGAGAAATATATGATGCCCGCTCCCAGGCTCGGAATACCCATGTATCACAGACTGAATCTTACACTCATTAGCTACTTCTGTGGGATAATATTTTCCCTGACTCCTTCCTTGTCTGTTAATGCCTAGACAGCCTCGGTTCAGATCTCACTGGGCCCCCGCTTAATGCAGCTGCAAGTGCATCCATTGAAGGATGACTTAGTGCTCAGTCTGAAGCTCTGATTTTGCACATAACCAGTCTTTTCATGACAAATGGCCATTCTGTCTCGAATCCCACAACCATGAATGACTCGAGAGATTCAGTCTTAAAATCAATCTTGGAACCCTGTCCTTGCCTTAATTATTTTAAGATTGCTGTGGAATGCCCATGTTGCTCATTCTTTTATTTTTGAATTTTGACTTTAGTATTTTTATATGTTATAAATATGTATATAATATATAAAATTATTTAACCATATAAAGATTATTAAAGGAATTGTGAAAAGCTATCACTAGTCCAACTTGCAATTAGACAATATCTTGGTTTCTTCCATAATTTATTCTTCAGCTCAGGTCTATCGTTCTGCCTCTCTAGAATATCCGACTTATCTACATTCGCCTAGTGAGCTCTACTTTCACTGCCCACTTTCTTGGGCTCGTGTCCTGCCTCCACCTCCTTTTGTCACTAGCAGTGGCCTTGCTGTCCCCCTCCTCCATAGGCTAGCCCATTAGCACCCCCCACATCAGTAGTAATTTTCACTTGCTTTTCAAATTATTTACAGAAACACATAAGTCGTGAATCTCCTAGAATCTGCTAGATTTTTCTGTGGTGATGGAAACATCAAATATAGTAGCCACTACCCACATGTGGCTATGGAGCACTTGAACCCTTAAACATGAATAGTGTGGTGGATGGATTTTGATAGGTTTCATCCCTGCAGGCAGAGGATGGGATCCTCTTAAAACCATTTCTAAAACTGTAAGTCTAAATATAAGTACCTTAAATATAAGTACCTTCAAAGGTACTTATATTCAGGGATTCTGTTTTTCTCTTGTTGTTTGAAAAATGGACCATATACAATTTCCCACATAGAGCTACATTAGATTGTTATCTTTTCACTAATCCATTTACCTAGTTACAGCTACTAAGAACATGAAATGAAACTTGTGTTCAGCAGCCCATAGAGAAAGCAGTAAGCAATCAGCTAGATGACACTCTACCCCAAATACATATAATTAACAACGAACTCAATGCCATAAATGAGAGGTTTCAGACAATGATCAGAACGTGAATCTGGGTTTGCCACACATATAAAATGTCTTTAGAGGATACCAACAGCCTGTAGGTCAGAAGCTCCAGGATGGGAAAAGCAGTCTTAGTAAGACAATGTAATGACTGTTGAGGAGACTAAATCCTCATAAGAAGAGGGCTCTTGAGAAGGCAAAACAAGCCATCCACAGAGAGTAGAAGAGTTAAAGTCAGGATTGCTATAATTCTTTCCATATAGTAGTATCTTTTCCTCAAACATTTATGTTAAGTCGTTCATAGAGCATTAATATTTTAGAGGAAGCTAAATATTATAGGAGACAGACAATGAGAGAAATGAATACCCCAGCAATGAATGCCTTATGTTAAAAGTGACCACATCGCTTCTCCTCTATGAAGCTTAAATTAATTATATACTAAATTGGGAAATTGAGACTCCTGGAGATACATTCCTCTGGAATTTTATGTGGCACTTCAAAGGCTTGAACTATTTATTAATAATTATACTCTACATCAAGCTATCTCAGAGTCAACCAATATAGCCCCTAGAATAAGAAGAACTAAGAAGCACAAGTCCTTGATATTTCATATGTTGTCCTCACACATGGTACTTCCTAGGCTCATTGGCTTATTCAGGTTCCATGCTTCTCATGACATTTTATAGCTTGATCTAAAAAGAAAAAGTTTTATAGACCTGACTAAAAAAATTAGTAATCTTAACAATTATTATCATCATCTCATTTTTATTGAGTGCTGTGCCAGGAGCTGTTCTAAACAGTTAACATTCATCAGACTTTTTTAATCCTCATGATAATCCTAGAAAACGATGGGTCTTATTATCCCAATTTACAAATAAGGAAATTAGGCACAAAGACTTTAATGTTTAACAATAAGGAAGCAGGTAAATACCAACTTAGAATTGAATACTATGCATCCATTAAAAATCATGCTTTATATAAATACTTAATCGATTGAAAAAAATTCATGATATATATAGGTAAGTACCAATAGTGGTAATTCAGAATAATCCTTTTTGATGGAAATGGGGAGAGAGAAGAAAAGATAGAGAAAGAAATGAGAAGGACAGTCACCAAAATTGTACATATTTTACCCCTAGATAGTGATTTTATTGCCCTTTTATGATTTGTATATTTTTCAAATTTTTTCAGTGAACATATATTACTTTAATCATCACAAAATGTAATAATTTTTTAAATACTCATCTGATTTTCTTCCTATATTTAATCAAAGTGCTGGTCATCATATTTATTCATACAACAAATATTTATGAAAGTCTTCTGTGCAAGGCATTGTTTTGGGCTCTCAAGGTACAGCAGTAAACAAGGCTGACAATTATCCTACATGTTTTCATTCAAGTGACAGAAAACATAAACCATTAAACAAAAACACAAATAAGTCATTTCAGAATGCAATAAATACTATAAAATAAAAAAGAACAGATGATGTGATAGAGAATAAGAGGTGTGTGCAGGGGGGAGAGGTGAGCAGTTAATTTCAAAAGGATGCTCTAAGTGGACATTACTTAGGAGACATTTGTGTTGAGGCCTGAAGTATGGAAAAGAACCATTCAATGAGACTGTGAAAGGGTGATGACAGAAAGAATGGTAATACAGTATTCCAAAGATGGCAACAAGCTCAGCAAATTCAGAATACAGACAGAGGCTCAGTGTGGCTAGAGTACAATGAAGAAGGAGAAGGGGCTGGGAAATAGGCAATGCCAGATCAAGGAAGTCTATGTAGGCCACAAAAAAAGTTGAATTATTATTTGCTTATTTATTAGGTATTTTTTTTACATCCACTCTAGCTGTTGTGTAAACAATGAGCTATGGGATCCAAGAATAGAAGACCACAGCCAATGAGGAAGCTATTGCTGTAATTTAGGCTAGAGATAATGACGACTTAGAAGGAGAGTAGCACTACAAAGAAAGAGAAGTGAACAGATTAAATAATATTTTCAAGATACAGCATAAACTTTGTGGTGTTTTAGATGTAGGGCATAAGTAAATAGTCAAGAAGAATGCATGGGATATAGGCTCAATTGATCAAGTAGATGGTGATATCATTTCCTAATATGAAAAAGTTTAGAAAGAGATTAGGTCATAGATGGAGATTGGAAGGAAGAATGACATTTTCGACACAAATGCATATGCCTAAGTAACCACCACAACAATCAACTATAGAGCATTTCCATCATGCAAAGAACTTCCTCTGTGCCCTTCCCAACCAAGTCCCTAATTGTGACCCTAAGCAATCACGGGTGCACTCTCATGGTAAATTATTGTCTTTTTTAGAATTTCTATGAATAAAATTTGTGTTTAGAGTTCTTCATTCTGTGTTTATTGTTGTTGCTGTTGTTTTTATAATTATCCATGTTGTTATGTATATCAATATTCTGTATGTTTTATCAGATACAAATTTTATTATAAAATATAGTTCTGTATTATAAATAAAACATAACTTGCTTACCTATTCATCTGTTGATGCATATTGAGTTATATTTACTTTGGTGGTATTATGAGTAAAGCTGTTATGAACATTCAGGTAAAAGACTTTAGTGTAGACACACGTTTTCATTTCTCTGGGGTTGATACCTAGGAGTAGAATTTCTGGGTCACATGGTAAGTGCATGCTTAAGTTTAAACTGCCTGAATGTTCCCAAAGAATTTATAAAATTTTACATTCTTACAAATAATATATGAGAGTTCCAGTTGCTCTCCATTCCTCACTAACTCTTGATGTTTCTATCTTTTTAAAGCTTTCTAGTGGTTGTATAGTATTATCCCATTGTTGTTAAAATCTGAATTTCCCTGGTGACTCAAAGCACATGTCTTCATTTGCTTAGGTCTTTCACTCAGCAATATTTTGTACTTTTCAGTATGTGGTCTTATACATATATATTTTAAATTTATTCCTAAATATTTTCTTTTTAATGCTGTTGTAATTGAAAATATTTTTAAATTTTATTTTTCATTTTTTTCTTGCTAGTATTCAAAATAAAATTAATTTTCACACTTTTTAAGGGAATATTCAAACAGCAACATTTCACAGTGAACTTCCATATATCATCACTGATTCTATTGCTATCATTGTAATTGGTTTATCACATATCTATCCATCTATCCGCTTATCTATCCATCTAATCCATATTCATTTTTATTCATTTCAAAATAAACTGTAGATATTATTTCTCTTTGTCTTTATTTATTTGTTTGTTTATTTTGTAGAAACGAGGCCTCACTATGTTGCCCAAGCTGGTCTTGGGCTTCTGACCTTAAGGAATCCTCCCATCTCAGCCACTACACCAGACCTCACTTTGTCTTTGTACTTCAACATGCATATCATCTACTGAATTCAATATATTTGATTTTGTTTCTATTTTGGTATAAACTGTACATTCAAAGAATTGCACAAATATTACATGTGCATTCACTGAGTTTTGACAAATGCATGTAACTGTATATCTGAAATTCCTATCAAGATATAGACCGTTATCATCAATCTAAAAACCCCCTTATTCCCTTTTGCAATATATTCTTCCCTTGCTGCTGAGAACATAAGGAGCAACCAACCTTTCTTTCTTTCTTTCTTTTTCTTTCTTTCTCCTTCCTTCCTTCCTTCCTTCTTTCCTTCCTTCCTTCTTTCCTTCCTTCCATCCTTCCTTCCTTCTTTCCTTCCTTCCCTTCCTTCTTTCCTTCTTCCTTCCCTCCCTCCCCCTCCCTCCCTTCCTTCCTTCCTTCTTTCCTTCCTTCCTTTCCTCCCTTCCATTCTTTCTTTTTTACATTATAAGATTGTTTGGAACATTTCACAATTTCATATAACTCTGATCAAACAGTTTATCAGTTGCATAAGACTTCTTTTACTTACCCTAACAGTTTTGAGATCATCCATATTACTTCATGTAACAGTAGTTTGTTCCTTTCTTTTGAATGAATAGTACTGTAAAATATGAACATACCACAGTTTGTTGGTTCATTCTTCTATAAGTAAGCTATGTCCAGTTTCTTGGCCATCATGAATAAAACTGCTGTGAAAATTCATGTGCAATTATTTGCCACATAATCATGATTTGGTCAATGACGGAGCATATATAATAGAGGTCCCAAGGACAAAAAACCAAACACTGCATGTTCTCACTCATAGGTGGGAATTGAACAATGAGAACACATGGACACAGGAAGGGGAACATCACACACCGGGGCCTGTTGTGGGGTGGGGGGAGGGGGAGGGATAGCATTAGGAGATATACATAATGTTAAATGATGAGTTAATGGGTGCAGTACGCCAACATGGCACATGTATACATATGTAACTAACCTGCACATTGTGCACATGTACCCTAAAACTTAAAGTATAATTTAAAAAAAGATTATAATGAAGCATATAGAAACCTGATATATGTCATTTGATATTGGCATTGCAGATCGAGTAGGGGAAATGATTAATATTCGGTAATGGTGCTGGGACATTTGGTTTTCCATATATATATGTGCCATCTAGATTTGTGTAAGTACACTCTGTTATTACAAAACAAAATTACTTAATGAAGCATTTCAAATGTTTAATGACACATTTCTCAGAACATATCCCCATCATTAAGTGACACATGGTTGTATTTGTTTTGTGAACATGTTTTAATTTCTTTTAGGTTGAAATCTAAAAGTAAAGTTACTTGGTCCTGAGGTAGGTATACTTATTTTGATAAGAAACCACCAGACTTTTATCTCCAGAGGCTGAACCATCTTACATCATAACCAACGATGTACAAAAGTTCTAGTTATTCCACATCCTCGATAGCATTTGGTTTTGTCCATTTTTAAAATGTTAGCAGGCATGTAATAACACATACTGTAGTTTTATTTTTTATTTCTCTAATAATTAATGACATAGAACAACTCTTTATGTGCTTATTGGTCCTTCATATATCTTCTTTTAGGAAGTATATGGACAAATCTTTTGCTCATTTTAATTGCATTGTCTTTTTTCTTCAAAATTTAGGAATTATTTATAAATCTTGGATCTCAGTGTCCCTTGTCCAATATATATTACAGGTGTTTTTCTCTGACTGTGCAGCTTATCTATTCATTTTAAAGGAGCTTTTTATTAGTAGGAATTTGTGACTAATATACCATATTTGACTACACAGTTATTTTGTTCTGTGACCTATCTAAATTACCTTTGCCTACTTTCAAGTCATGAAAAATCTTCTTATGTGTCTTCTAAAAGTCTTATGGTTTTATTCTTTACATGTAAGTCCATGATCTATTTCAAATTAAATTTTATGTATGGTGTGAGGTAAGGGTTGAAGCTTATTTTTTCTATATTATTCCAGCACTATTTATTGAAAAGGTTTTTTCTCCCAATTGGACTATATTGTTTTAGTGTCTCAAGTAATTGATTTATTTTAAATTTTACTTTCTTAATACATCATAATTTTATATATTTATGGGGTACACTGTGATGTTCTGATATATGTATACATTGTATAATGATCAAATCAGAGTAATTAGAATATCCATCACCTCAAATACTTGTCATTTTTTTGTGGTGAGAACATTCAAAATTGTCTCTTCTGGATATTTTGAAATATAAAATACATTATTAACTATAGTTACCCTACTGTGTGATAGAACACCAGAACTTATTACTGCTACCTAACTGTAACTTTGTATCCGTTGACCAACTTCTCCCCATCCTCCCCACCTTCCTGCTCTCCCCAGCCTCTGGTAACCTCTATTTAACTTTCTACTTGCACGAGATCAAAATTTTTAGATTACACATATGAGTGATATCGTGCAGTATTTGTCCTTTTGTGCTTGTCTTAATTCACTCCATATAATGTCCTCCAGGCTCATCCATGTTGCACAAATGACAGGATTTCATTAATTTTATTTATTATTTTTATTATTTTTTTGAGATGGAGTCTTGCTCTGTTGCCCAGGCTGGAGTGCAGTGACGCAATCTCCACTCAGCTTGGCCTCCCATAGTGTTAGGATTACAGGAGTGAGCCATTGTGCCCAGCCAGATTTTATTATTTTTTATGGCTGAATAGCATTCAATTGTGTGTGTGTGTGTGTGTGTGTGTGTGTGTGTGTGTGTCTATATATATATATATATATATATATATATATATATATATAACATTTTTTAAAAGATTCTTGATTTTTTTTAACTTTTATGTTAGGCTCAGGGGTACAGGTAAAGATCCATTATATAGGTAAACTCTGTGTCATGGGGCTCTGGGGTACAGATAATTTCATCACCCACGTAATAAGCATAGTACCCAATAGGTATTTTTTCTGATCCTCTCCTTCCTCCTACCCTCCACTCTCAAGTAGGCCCCAGATCTGTTGTTTCCCTCCTAGCATCCATGTGTTCTCACTGTTTAGCTCCTTTATAAAAATGAGAACATGTGGTATTTGGTTTTCTGTTCCTGTGTTATTTTGCTTAGGATAATGGCCTCCAGCTCTATCCATACAACTGCAAAGGATATTATTTTGTTCTTTTTATGGCTGCAAAGTATTCCCATGTATACTACATTTTTTAATCCATTCATTCATTGATGGATACCTAGGTTGATTCCATATCTTGGCTATTGTGAACAGTGCAGCAATAAACATGAGAGTGCAGATCTCTCATTGAAATACTGATTTCCTTTCCCTCAGATATATATATGCATCAGTGGAATTGTTGGATCATATGGTACTTATATTTTTAATTTTTTGAGGACCCTCCATATTATTGTCCATCACTAGATGGACAGTATGAATGTGCTAGTCCAATAATGGATGCACTAATTTACATTCCCACCAACAGAGTATGAGTTTCCCTTTCTCTACATCCTTGCCCAAATTTGTTACTTTTGGTCTCTTTGATAATAACCATTCTAACTGGGGTGAGATCATATCTCATTGTGGTTTTGATTTACAGTTCACTGATGCTTAGTAATAAAGATCAGAGCAGAAATAAACAAAATACAGATTAAAAATACTAAAGACCAATGAAATGAAGAGTTGGTTTTTTGAATAGATAAACAAAATAGACAAACCTTTAGCTAGACTAAGAAAAAAAGAGAGAAGACTGAAATAAAATCAGAGGTGAGAAAGGAAACCTCACAATTGACACCACACAAATACACAGGATCAGTAGAGACTACTATGAACAACTATACACCGAGAAATTGGAAAACTTAGAAGAAATGGATAAATTCCTACATACAGACAACCTCCCAAGACTGAACCATGATGAAATAGAAAACCTGAACAGACCAATAAGAAGTAACAAAATTGAATCAGTAATAAAAAGTCTTCCATCAAAAAATCCCAGTACAAATAAAATAAAAAGAATGAATAAGACCTTATACTTGATAGCACAAGAGGACTACAGTCAATACAAATTTAATTGGATGGGCATGGTGGCTTATGCCTGTAAGTAATCCTAACACTTTGGGAGTCTGAAGCAGGTGGATCACTTGAGGCCAGGAGTTCAAGACCAGCCTGGCCAACATAGTAAAGCTCCATCTCTACTAAAAATTATAAAAAATTAGCCAGGTGTCATGACAAATGCCTGTAATCCCAGCTACTCAGGAGACTGAGGCATGAGAATCTCTTGAACCCGGGAGGCAGACGTTGCAGTAAGCAAAGATAGCACCACTGCACTCCAGCCTGGGTGACAGAGCAAGACTCTGTCTCAAGTAAATAAATAAATAAAAGTAAATAGAATTTAATTGTACGTTCTAAAATAACTGAAAGAGCATAATTAGATTGTTTGTAAGACAAAGGATAAATGCTTGAAGGGATGAATACCCAATTTTCCCTGATATTATTGTGCATTGCATGTCTGTACCAAAATACCTCATGTACCCCATAAATATGTGTACCTAATACATACCCATAAAAATTAAACTAAAAAGAAAAAGCCAAGGATCCAAGACTTCACAGCTGAATTCTACCAAATATTTAAAGATGAACTAATACCAATTCTTTTCAAACTATTACAAAAATATTGGAGAGAATTCTTCCAAACTCCTTGCAAGAAGTAAGCATTACGATGATACCAAAACCAGAAAAAGACACAACAACAACAAAAAGCTCTAGGCTGATATCCCTGATGAACACAGATGCAAAAATTCTCAACAAAATACTAGCAAGCCCAATCCAACAGCACCTCAAAAAGATCATTCAAAATAATCAAGTGGGATTTATTCCTGCAATGCAAAAATGATTCAACATACACAAATCAATAAGCAAAATACATTATATTAACAGAATGAAGGACAAAAACCATATGATCATCTCAAGTAATTTTAGACCTCACTTCTAGTATAATCATTTAAAGCTATACATTTTTTTAAATCACTACATTAACTGCATCTCATAAATTTTGATATGTTGTTTTAATATTTATTATTTTTGGAATATTTTTAAATGCATATAATTTCCTATTTGACCCATAGATCACTTAAAATGTATTAATTTCTAAATGTTTGAAGGTTTCCTAGATAACTCATTTTTATTAATTTTTATTTTAATGCAATCAGTGTAAAAGGACATGCTCTTCATGATTTCAATTCTTTTAAATGTACTGAGTCTTTTTTCATGACCCCATAAATAGTACATCTTGGACAGTGTATCATGTATCATGTGCACTTAAAAAAATATGTTTTGTAGTTTCTTGTCAAGTTAGCTGATAGTGCTGTTCAGATCATGTAGGTCTTTACTGATTGTTTTGTCTAGTTGTCCTGTTAAGCACAAAGAGATAAGGGTATGGTTTCATCCTTTTGTAAATGGATATCCAGTTTTCTCAGTACTATTTATTGAAGAGACAGTCCTTTCCCTAATGTATGTTCTTGGTATCTTTGTCTAGTGCAGAGAATTGGGAGTTGAAATCTCCCCCTGAGGTCTGGTGGAAATCTTCATTTCTCCTTGCATTTCTGTCAATTTTTGCTTTCAATATTTTTAGGCTCTGTTATTAAGTAAATACATACATACGGTCATGACTTCTTCCTAATTCATTAGCCCTCATCATTATTAAATGCTTCTTTTTATCTTTTGGTAATATTCACTGTTTTGACATTTATTTTACTTGATATTAATATAGATATTCCAGTCTTCTTATATTTATTCTTGATATATTTTTCCCATGCACTTTCAGGCTATATATGACTTTATATTAAGTTGTATCTCTTGTTTGCAGCATAGAGTTGGTCTTACGTTGTATCTGTTCTATTTTTGTCTTTTAATTAGCATGCATAATTCGTTCATATTTTATGTAGTTTGTAATGTGATTAAAATTAGGTATACTACTTTATTTGTTTTCTGTGTGTTCATTCTTTTTGTCTTTCCAACCTTCCCTTCTTGTATTCTTGTATATTATCTTAATAACGACTACGAACTGTGGAAATTTCACAGAAGTTGTGTCTCGTTTGTGGACTTTTTTATAGGTGTGGAAATGCCAACGAAAACAATTACATTAGAGAGTTTTAGGGGACTATTAGAGCTCCTCTGGCCCAAGCCCTTTAGTTTTATAGATATGGAAACTAAGACCAGAGAAGTTAAGTGACTTTCCTTCAAGCACACAAGAAGTAATCTTTCTAAGCCAAGATGAGAGTACTGTCTATACCACCATCTCAATATACGCTGGGTAAAAAATTTTCATTTTGAGCCACCTAGCACTGAACATCCTTCCTCATTGCGTGAGTTGCGATGAGAGGCAAGACCCTAACATCTCTCACTGTGGAATTGGAGGGACCATACCATCCTCCTCACTCTAGGAGGATTTCAAAATTCTGATGTCTGGTTCATCTTGCAAAAGCAGAACATATGACACCACTGAGCCTCCAGTCCTATAGGGCAACAATCCAGTAGAAATGAGTAGCAGCCCCTGCCTTCTGTGGCAAAGACATGATTTACAGGTCACCAGAATCTCCATGCAGATACTTACCATTTACATGATTTGCCTAGCCTGGTAGGCATGTGAGTATGTGGCCCCTTGCTCTAGCCAAACAAGACTCCTTTCAGTTCTTTATATATATCATGCAGTTTCATGTCTTCATGGCTTTTTATACAATGTATCTTCTGCCTCCTTCACCTCCTGTGCCTTGAACACCTCATCATCCTTCATGAGTGTGACCAAACAGCATGTTCCCTTTGAAGCTCGTGCTGATTTCTGCAAGCAACGGTGATCATGGCATCCTTAGAGTCATGGCTGTATTCTGTAACTCACCTTCTATTTTATCACAACGATTTTTTTAAACACATGCCTCTTTCTATCCTGTGGCCCCACAGATGTCAGGGCCCACTCTGTGTATGTGTATGTGTGTACACAGGCATGCATATTTTCATCTCAGAATCTCAGGCACCAAGAAATAAATGATGGAGAACTTGTTAAGTCTCTCATATATTACTTTCTTTATAAAATATTAGTAACAGTTTTTACCTGCCTCACAGGAGTGTCTTAAGAATTGATTCACATTTACAAAGCACTCAGAAATCCTTGGATTTGAGATGCTGTAGAAGTGAGTGCATTATTATTATTATCAACCTGAGGCAGATAAATTGTAAGGAGAAAGCAGAGGATTGGGCTTGCTTGATATTTACAATAATATAGGTCTCTTTGCTGGGAATGCTATCTCCCCAGAAATGTATATTATGAATTACATTCCCTTTCCCTGGAAAACAGTTCTTAAAATCAGGCCAGTAACTCTGTGCTGGTTACATTTTGCTTCATCTTTGGATTTATCTACCTCAGGGCAACATATTATACAGCCTGCTCTGAAACACTTTGGATACCCTCAAGGTATATATAAGCCTAGAAGAAAACAAAAGGTAATTTTCTATTTTTATGAAGCAGCTGAATGAAATGTCACCCTGTTATACTAAATCATATAAAGCAAGCCTTCTGGATATTTAAAGTTAGAAATCTGAATTTGTTACATAGGTTTTGTTTTTTATCACAGCCAAGGTTTCAGGGGAAATGTGTCTGTGTCTTCCATACTTTCTCAACTCCCTTTTAAGCTGCCTAACCGGAGAATCTCAGCCCCATATATCCCTTGTAGGCAATGCCCTGAATTTTTCTCCCCTCCCATCAGCAGTTTTCTGATGCTTCACCACTGCTTCTTGTTCCATCTCATCCTGCTTCCTCCATCCTGAGGATGATCATATTCTGAGAAAATCATTTGTTCTTCATTGATAAATCCTGGCTCCTTCTTAATGCTCATCTCAAGACACACCTTCTTATATTGACGTAGTCAGTTTATTCCCCAGCTTAGCCAAACATTCCTTGTATCTCCATTGTACTCCATATATAATTCCATCAGAATACTTACTGTTATTAAATCTAGGGAGACAGGATCTCACTCTGTCAACCAGGCTGGAATGCAGTGGCTCAATCATAGCTCACTGTAGCCTTGAACTCCTGGGCGCAAGCAAAGCCTTCCAATTTGCTGGGACTAAATAAGTCTGCCACCATGCCTGGCTAATTCTTTTTTATTTTTTAATTTTAATTTTCATTTTCATTTTTTTCTGTAGAAAGGGGTCCTTGCTATGTTGCCCCGGCTGGTCTGGAACTGCTGGGCTTGAGCCATCCTCCTGCCTCCCAAAGTTCTAGGATTACAGGCATAAGCCACCACTCCTGGCCTTTTCTTATATTTTACACTTTGGTCTCCTCCTTCTACATCTAAACTTCTTTTAGTAAAGTACTACTAATTTCATCTGCTTATCGATGGGTTCTAATCTCGTTTTTACTACATAATGGTTATGGAACAACTTGTTTTTCAGGTGAATATAAATGCAAGGTTAATAGTAGGCAACCAATTAATATTTTACCTCCACAGGTATATTTTGACTTTAACAGTGATATGCTGATGGATGGTACACAGTGATCATAATCTTCGAAGGTTTTGTGTTGGAAGAGATTTTGCAGATTGATTGTCCCTAACATTCTCTCTCGAAATCCTGGTGTTATAAGATACTAATATGTTTTCTTAAAAGAGGTCTACAATTTGGGGGAAATCATGTATGAAACAAACCTAATCCCTTTTTGTATTATTTTTTAACTACAGGATTTCTGAGAGTCTTTCCCATATGTCACTGATGTCTAGGAGGAATACCTGAGTATTTTCCCAATTTTTTGAGAGCAGGCTCATTTTGTTTGCAGAGTACCTAACAAAATTAGTGTTCTTCAGAAAACACATTGGGAAAAACTAGTGAAGCCAATATCTTACATGTGACAGAAGAATATACTGATGATCAGAGAGAGCAAATGCAATTTCCAAAGTCGGGATCTTGCAATTTCTTCTTTAGCATTCTTTCTATTAAATAGTGATGACAAAATTCTCACCTTTTTGGGAGATCATTGCTTGGGGAGTTAGACATTTAAAAAAGAGAATTTAAGATAATTTATAATCTAGCAGGACCAGTTCTAGGCAATAAGGACACCGAGATATCTGTTTTAAGAAAGATGACTATTATGGGGAGGTTCTGCAGGTGATGGGAGGAGACAAGACATGGAGCCCAGGTGACAAATTTTGCACAAAGCTCAGGGGCACAGCCTGGTGAAGTAAGGGACTCCTTATAATATAACTTGGGAATGAAAGGGCCTTTTCTAACCACAACAAATGAACCATTATTTACTCTACCTCTGAGTAAGCCTTACTGATTATCTGTTTAATGAGAGACCATTGTGTACTTTGCCCAAGAAAAGTAAGTAGGTTTGGAGTTACTTAATACTAAGAAGAAAACAAGAGGAACAGGCAAATACATAGGGTCTATATTTACACCATAAAAAAAAGGTATAATGGAATCCAAAACCCCTAGTCATAATTTTCTTCTGTTCACTGGTGTAAGAGTCTTGGCCAGTACTCTTCAAAGTGTCCATTCTTAATAGTGGGTTCTAAATATTCTAAGATATAATGGGTTGTAAGCTTGATTTTCCAAAGTTAGCCTATAAATATGTTTAGTCTTCTTGTTCCTTTTATAATCATTTTGGACTCACCTTAGACTCTTTAGGATAAAATTGCTGCTTCCTACACCAGCTGTTATCTTTCCTTCCTTGGGTATAATTCAGAAAGAATCAAAGGGCAGAGTCCAGGTGAAACTAATTTAGGTATTAGCTAGAGGGAGCTACTTGTAGATCAATTTTACTCTGACAGATAAATTTGCCTTAGAGATCCAATTATATACAATATTAAGACTAGCATGAATCACCTATCACACTTGGAAACAGCTGCTAATTAAAGCACAGAGATACTAGAACATTCAGAGAACACATTGAAATAGAGTTTTTAAGGATGCAAAATGGAAAAAAAAGAGAAAGATTATTATTTATTTCCCAGAGATAAATTCCAGTAGTCACATTTCCGGGAAACTATTTCTGAATTCAGTGAGTCACAGTGAAATCCATTTTTACAGTTTTTGTTTCCCTGTTTTTTTTTTTATTGACTCCTGAGCTTCCTACGCAGTATTAAAATTGTAATATTCTAGCCAAGAACCTATGGAAGTGTTACTATTCTAGTAGAAAGAGAATGTAGAATAGTACCTAAAAGCATGGGTCCCAAAATCACTGTTTGATTTAAAATCTCAGTTCTACCAGTACTCAGTTATATAATTTGAGGTAAGTTACTTAAATAATCTTAGTCTCGGTTTTCTGCAAAAAACTGTAAAATGAAAATAAGCAGAGTAACTGCCTCAGCATGTTATGGAAAGGATTAAATATGTGAATGTTCATGGAGCAACAACAGAGTGGAAGAGAGTGCATACACACACCAATAACACACACATGTGATTAGTTTTAGTTTCCTCTTTTTCACTTAACTACTTGGAAAGAAAGGAAGATTTTTCACTGTATTACATATGTTACCTTTTGATCCGTTAAAAATTACTCTTCACTATTTGCTTAAATATAGCTGCAAATACCAATTTATAATGGCATTTAAAATTACATGAGAAATATGGATGGTGATATTTTATTTTTTAGGAAAAAAAAATCTAAAATAATGGAAATATATATCTGCACTGATTATAACTACTTTGCTGTGTCTAGCTTCCTTCACACCTGTGGTGATCAATGCCATGCAATGAATATTTAGGGCATATATTAATTCATTTGTTCAACAAACAGAAATTAAATGTTTTTAAGGTGTCTGCCACTTATCTAGGCACTGAGGTTTCAAATAAGTAATTTCACTTTCAAGTTATAGTTTTGCAGCTTCTTCATTAAAAAAATTGTTTTCTCTCTCTGTTTTCTAATAAAAATGGATTAATTTAACAGACCTGCTCCTTCAGCTTACTGTTATGAGAAGACTAAGACTTGGGTGCAGTGGCTCACACCTGTAATCCCAACACTTTGGGAGGCCGAGGCAGACGGATTACCCAAGGTCAGGAGTTCGAGACCAGCCTGGCCAACATGGAGAAACCCCATCTCTACCTAAAATACAAAAATTAGCTGGGTTTGGTGGCGGGTGCCTGTAATCCCAACTGCTCCAGAGGCTAAGGCAGGAAAATCCCTTGAACCCAGGAGGCAGAGGTTGCAGTGAGTCGAGATCAAACCACTGCACTCCAGCCTGGGTGACAGAGCGAGACTCTGTCTCAAAAAACAAACAAACAAACAAAAAACACTAAGACTCTGCGGTGCCTGTCATACATCCTTTTAGACCAAAGCTTCATGGAAATGTAATTATAGGGAGATGAGATGACAAGGTGCTTGCTTTATAGAAAGGTAAAAATATTCCAAGTAAATAATTAAGTGGGACATTCTTGAACAGAGTTTGTGATAGTTCTGGGATTAGAGAAAAATGAGAGGGAGACAGTTTCTTTCTGGAAAAATTATCAAAAGAAATGTTGTCAATAATTTTACATATCTGATGATAAATATGTTTGAATCAAATCATTTAGGTATGTGAACTTAGAAAGAGCTCTATAGAACTGTGACAAATGTTACAGCTCAATGTCTTCCTCATTGTTAAATGAAACCACCAGAATTACTGGGCTTAGAAGAATCATTGAGTCTGAACCCCGTTTTAGCTCCCAAGTGAGAAATCCTTAGCTATCTTGAAGTGAGATATGTGATGCAGGTGCTTAAACCTTCGTTAAAAATGAAATCGAAGGGAAACCAGGATTCCCATTGATTTTTATTAAGAGAAATAAAGCTTATTAAGGATCAGGACATTATCAAGCGAGATTCTCAAACATTAGTGAGTTTTTTTATGGATGCTTTTGGGAGTGCTGAAAGAAAATTTATGCAAGGTTGTGTTCAGAAGCTTCATGAGATCTCTTAAGAAGCCAAATCCAGAAAAACCAAAGGGATCCCTGAATACTTACAGAAGAAAGCCTCTTCTGACTTTTGGTTTGTATGTGTTTTCAAGCAGTTAGCTTACAGTTCATCTTTGTGTTAAAAAAACTGAATTTTGTCATGTCTGTTAACATCACAGGCTATTCAATAAATTTGGGTTCCTCATAACTCTTGTATTGCAGCCCTTTTTCATTATTGCAGCTCCTGTTTTGTATTAGATCTTCCCTCAGTGTAAACCTACACATTCAGTCTCGTACTGCTCAGAGTATCTAGTAAAACAGTAGAACAAATTTCTGCTCAGCTGCTCAGCAAGCCATAACATCATGGTCTCTTAGTGATATGGCCTCCAGGTTAGACTTGGGGTTAGGGGCTTTGAAAAAGGTGAAAGCAGAATTTGTCCTATCCTGTGGCGGATTCACTATGTACCCAAGCTTTCCAGAATCCAGAAACTCTGAAATGGGGAGTGGCTTAGAAATGCTCAGGAGGGAGGGAAAGATGCTGCCCAAAGTCTGGCTATATTCACCTTAGATCCCTGTGTCAGTCTAACAGTGAATTTCGTCTAGGATAAATGTTTACACTAGGGTGAGGGTGGGGTAAGAGACAGCATAGTTGGCACGAAGTAAAAGACAATAGAAAATAGCTGTTATTTTTATTCTTTAGAATTTACATTCTAATGGGGTGAGTCATAGTCATCATAACAATTAATTTGGTTTCATAATAGTTCATATACTAATAGTAGATCATTTATTACTTTGTATTTTTTATTATTTGAGGGTACTTATTTCCTTTGAAATCAATAATGCTGAAATAAATATAAAATGTTCTTTAGGCAAATAGCCTTTACTGCCTGAATTATGAAATGGTAATTTCTTACAAACTAGAGTTTAGGGATAAACAAATATTTAACCTGGCAATGTATAAATAGCCCATTCAAACTGGTCCCCTAAAACAGAACAAAACACAGCCAAAAACCCCAGCATAATTTCTGCTCTTTATGTGACAGAATATAGACATAACATGAAGACAGCAAGTTTATTTAATATATGAATGGAAGACTCGACCTAGAAAAATGTGCCAATATGGAGCATAAGGCCACTTAGTTAAAACTTAAGACATAAAACACACAAGAACACAAGCGAAAAACACTTTAGATTTCCAACCAGCACAAGTTTATTTAAAAAACTGGAGAGATAAGGCTGGGCACGGTGGCTCACACCTGTAATCCCAGCACTTTGGGAGGCCTAGGCGGGTGGATCATCTGAGCTCAGGAGTTCAAGACCAGCCTGGCTGACATGGTGAAACCCCACTACTAAAAATACCAAAAAAAAAAAAAAAAATTAGCTGGGTGTGGTGGTGTGCACCTGTAGTCCCAGCTACTCTGGAGGCTGAGGCATGAGAATTGCTTGAACCCAGGAGGTGGAGGTTGCAGTGAGCCGGGATCGCACCATTGCACTCCAACGTGGACCACAGGAGCAAAAAACTCCATCTCAAAAAAAAAAAAAAAAATGGAGAGATACAGTCTATAGAAAAGAAAACTTCTGGGTAAGTCTGTCACAGGAACTTACAAAGTCAATAGTCAGCTTGCAAAAAAAAAAAAAAAAAAAAAAAAAAAACAAATAAAAAAAAAAAAAAAAAGGAAGAAACAGTGTCTATGCCAAATAGGCTAGTTCATTTTGGCTAATAGATGCTTTCTAGAATGTTTATTTACTCAATTTTGAAAAAATCTATATAATGCCATATTTTCTATATCCCTAATCCATTAATTTTAATCAAGTCACAACCTAACCTAAGTAGTTTTTTGGAGTAGTGGCCAACCACACTGCCTTTCATGAATGTTACCTGAGATGGTTGATAAGGGATTACTGTGTTTCTTGGAGTTAGGTTCCCAGAGGTGGGATTAGTGAGGTTATGAGCAGTTTTATGACTCTTGACATATTGGTGGCAATACTGCACTTGCAAAGCTTTTGATATGTTTTACTGAGTTATTTTCCCAAAGGAGTTACTAATTTATAATGCTACCAGAAGTGCATGAGACAAGTGAATTCCTTTCACCTTCAGGTTTTTGGACTTTGCCTTTAATTTTTTTCTATTTTTAAAAGTAGGTGAAAATATGCATTAAAAAAACTATTAAGAAGTGCCTTTCTCAGCCCGAAGCAGCAAAGAAAATAGCAAAAATTCTGATTTCAAATCCCATCTCATTAAATTTTTAAATGTCAAGAGCCTAATATTAAAGACACATCTAGTTTATGCCAGCTTGGCCTGTCCTGGTCACCTAGAAAATTTTAGAGTCTTTCCTGGCTCAATCATTAATGTGTACTTAGAGAATGTAAGAAAATAACCATCAAAATGTGACTGTCATGTAGAAATTTTAGTTATTTTATAAGTGTCATTTTAATTTAAGGCAAATATAGATGTTTTTAATTATATGATTGTCCTCTTTACATGTATTTCTGTTGTGAATAAAGGAGAAGGCTGCAAAGTGTGTGCCTATGGCAAAATCCCCAATAATGCTGAACTTTCTATTTCTCCAAACATCAAATAAGGCTGAGAAAAAGATCAGCGTTCATCAAATTCTATTTTCTATTCCTCCTTTTTAACTTAAAGAAAACTATACTTTCCAAACCCTTTGCTCACAGACAAGGTCAGGTGACTACTTCTGGTCAGTGAAATTTGGGAAGAAATGATGCATGAGCTATGGCAATGGATATTCTGTTCATTATTCTCCAGGTCCTTCCTTTTCTTGCTCTAGCAAACCCTGAAGCCTCATCTGGCAATGTTGAAAATTCTGTCAGCCTGGATCCCTGAGTGACCATGTGGAGGAGAGTGCCATCCCCAACCCCTATCCTGCACCTCTATAACTTGGATTAGAATGCATGAACAAAAGATAAACTTTGGGTGTACTGTGAGATCTGCTAACTAATACCTAAGGTGTGGTCACAGATCTACTACCAAGTCTTTTCCCCCAACCAAACAGCTTGAATATATGGAGTGAGGATTACTGGAGAGACTAGCAAGGGAACTTTATTCTGCCTTGAGATGCCCAGTTCCAAGGAGCAACTTTCTTTGCATTTCATATGCACCAAATACAAGGAGAGATATTAAAATGTATATAGAAGAAAAGAATCCTCAGAACAACAGTTTAGATTTATAATAACAAACTTCAGAAAACTCATAAAAGCCCATCTGTTCTGTGAAGCATTCCAACAAAAATGACCACTTGGCGCTCACTGTTCTGTGCCACCGCTTATATTGTATTTGTGTGTATGGCTCTCATATCCCCAAGTGTGCCTCAAATTCAGGGCTCTGCAGGGCAGGGTATTTTATTGTGTTTTCTGCATGGCAGTCCACCTAAGATAAATGAATAGATGGGGGAAAGCAAATAAAATAGAAAACTGTCTCTTTCTACAGATGCGTGTACTGAAATTTCAAGTTTACAAAAAAATCAAAAGCATATACATTTTCTTTCTCTTACCAAATTGTCACTCATGGGCTTTAGCCCTTTACATCTACAGAGAAATGCTTTCAGACAGCAGATACAAGGAAGTAGAAAAAAAAATCACACAGCTGACCTCCTCTTTCTTCTATTCCAGAAGTATGTAGTTCATCTAACTGCTTTATCTTACAGGCTATGGTTTAATGTGGAAAGAGTTTGTCCTTTGTTGTAAGAAAATTGTTAATTGAGACTGGAAGTGTTATCTAAGAAAGAAAGACAAAGGAAATTCGGGCCACCTGCCACATTCCAGACTCTTATTAAGGTATTTCACATAAATTGCTCCATTCAGCTGTCTGAAAATCCCTAAATTTTTCACATTTACAATGTGGAGATGATAACAATATCAGCAAGGATTAAATGAGATTAGGTATGTAGATGTTCTCTGTAAATTGTACAGGAATACCACAGAAGTGAAAATTATTATTTTCAAAAAGTTGGTTGTTTCCAAAATATTAGATATTTCCTCTCAGGCAAAGAAAAGTATCACTTGCCTTGTGATGTTTAGTGTGTAACAATTACAGGTAAAAGAATATTTAAAAAAGAATATTTTCTTTCAAATGGTGTTGGAGAAAAGATTTTTAAGCAGCATTTCTATGTGCTAAGAGAGGGAGAAAGAGGAGCGAGTAAGAGAGAGAGAGAGATGAGATAAAGAAAGGTAGAAACAGAGGCACAAAGAGAGGGTAGCCCAACAGGCAGAAAGACAGACACAAAGGAACAGACACACACACACACACACACACACACACACACACATGCACACACACACACAGAGAGAGAGAGAGAGAGAGAGCAAACTAAACCTATTGGAGAACAAACTTGTATATATTGTTTACCTGTGTTAATTTGGTGGATTATTCCATTAAATCTCAGAAACTCTGAGATATCTTACTTTCTAAGTGGATGAAAAGAAATGAAAAGTTATATTCCTTTATGAACACTGAGAGGAAGTAGCCTGGGCCCTCTGGCTGGTCTTGGATTTGTCTGATCTGCACCTTTATGTTCAAATGGCTGCTTTCCATTTTTGCAGTGAAAGAACATTTTACTATGCAACAGCTTTGCACCAGGCAGTGAAACATATGGGCCTATGCCTGAATCCTTAGTCTGTCGTCAGTATCCCAGTACCTACCAGTTATTATGACCTTCAAATATAGTTCCAACACTGCTGTCCCCCTCAGAGATGTCTCTGCTGATTCATGTTGCAATACTCTGTCATTGGGAGTCATGCTCTGGACTAACCATGTCACACAGAAGCCTTTACCCACAAAGAAGTCTTAGAACAGACAACCAGAAATTGGGTTTCTTCCTATAGCCCAACTGCACTGATCTGACTTTGAAACCAACTGAATTCTCCCAGGGGAGCACTCGGGGCGTCATCTGAACCCAATCAATTGCAAGGTCAATGTATCAGTGGATTCTCATGCTGCTAATAAAGACATACCTGATCCTGGGTAATTTATAAAGCAAACAGGTTTAATTGACTCACAGTTCAGCATGGCTGGGAGGCCTCAGGAAACTTACAATCATCGTGGAAGGGAAAGCAAACATGTCCTTCTTAACATTGTGGCAGAAAGGAGAAGTGCTGAGTGAAGAGAGGGAAAAGCCCCTTATAAAACCATCAGATCTCATGAGAACTCACTCACCATCACAAGAACAGCATGAGGGTAACTGCCCTCATGATTCAATCACTTCCCACCAGGTCCCTCTCATGACATGTGGGGATTATGGGAACCTCAATTCAAGATGAGATTTGGGTGGGGACACAGCCAAACCATAACAGTGAACAAGGCAGGCAAAAACAATGAGAGAAGTACAAACACCAACTGTGGAATGCCAGGCACCTTCCTCTATGTTTTGTATGTGATTTCTCATCTAATCTTTCCAATTACCCTTACTTTTCACATGAAGATGCTAAGCACAGAGTGGTTACATTCCGCAAAGTTACAGACCTAGTTAGGGGCAGAATCCTAGAGACAAACTAGACACTGCATTTTCATACTTATATTTTGAGGAAAAAAAAGAACAGAATTCCATTCCTGTTCTTAGCTTGCTGCACATTCATGAACATCCATAATACAGTAAGCATGGCCTAATATTTGCTTCTCTGTACTTCATAAACTGGCATAAAAAGAAAGGAGAGAAATGTTCAAAAAAGGTGCTATTGCAAACATAGACACACACACACAAATCCTACAGAATATAACAACTGTTTTAATGAATTCAGATAAGGGTTTTAAATGCTATTTTTAAAAGTCCCTAAAAATATCTCTGGCAAGAAGATTCCCAAGGACAAGATTAAAAATGAGAGGTGAATGGAAGAAAGACTATCCTAGGAAAGTGACACTAGAGATGCCCACATGCATGAAGACTCCATCTTCAGATAGTGTTGAGGTGAGCCACAAGACAGAAAGCGAGCGAGTTTGGAGAAAATTCATGGAGACAAAGAAAGTTCTTTCTGGAACAAAGGAGATGAGGGAGGCAGGAGAGAGTGTTGAGGTAGCTGCAAGAGGCTGGAGCTGAGTGCTGCAGAGGCTTTACAGCAGGAAGGGAAGAAGCACCCGTCTGCTGACACCATTAGAGCCTTACAGATCTTTCTTCTCATGCAAGCCTCCTCACCTAAGGAGTAAATTCTATGGCTGCTAAGGCAGCATTGTCCGCTCTCTTCTCCTCAAAATTTTACTTCTTCCATATTTAATAGATGTCTAAGAGAAAGGTGGTTCCTGGTCAAATAAGCTTAGAAGACCATGCCCACAGTATCCCCTACCAGGATATTCATAATGAGCATTAGCAGATGAATGACTATGAGAAGACCTGACATAGACATAGCTATCAGTTTCATCCAGTATTCTGAAATGTGTTCCAATGTGTAGACTCTTTTTTTTTCAATTTCATCTTTCCCCAAACAGATGCCTTAGTCCATTTGTATTGCAATAAAGGAATACTTGAAGCTGGGTAATTTATAAAGAAAACAGGTTTATTTGGCCCATGGTCCTGCAGGCTTTACTCTTAGAAGACAAGGAATTTTACTCTCCTGTCATCATCTTTAAACTCTGGAAAGAGGTTCAAATATATTCTACATTTATAAGTAAAAGAGGATTATACTTCTGACTTATCATTTTCCACATCTTAAGCTTTAATTGAAATATCAATATCAAAAGTATCAATATCCACACACTATGACTTGAAATTGGACTAGAAAAACTAAGAAGCTATAGAGTGAAAGCATTTTAAATGACAGAGCATGATGCAAGCCAAATAATTATAGTTTCTTAATAAGTAAATTAGTGTACGATAATTTTCCTATATATTTCAAGTTGGAAAAAATTAAATTATTCACTTTCTATCAAACGAAAAAAGTAGCTCTAATATGCAAGAATTTTTCATGGGTCACTTGGAAGTTTATCCTTTAGGCCTGAAGTAGATTGGGTTTCTGAACATAACTAGTCATTGCCTATCACACGATTTAACATCACTTATAAATAAAAAACCCAAACATCTTTATAATTTTGTTCCATGTCTCTTAGGTATTATTTTACCATATCAATAGAATAAATAGCAAAACATAGTATTGTTTTTCAATAATAATTAATAAATACATACCATATACTGAATCATCTCACTAGATTTTCTTTTTTCTTTTTGAAGAAAAGGGCCATTCTTGTGTTTTCCATAGAGCTTAAAACAATCCCTTGCATATAATGGCAAGTAATTAATGCTTTAGGATGAAAATAATTGTTGATATCACTGGCTAAATACATAGAAAATTAAGCAAAGTACTAATGGGACGAATCTTGCAAATTGGTTTCCCACAAGATTCCAAATAAAAAGTCTTGGTTCAACCTGACAGCCTCCCTACCATTACCCAACAGAGCTACCCGAAATTACCAAACGGGCATCATCACCTATTAATTTTTCTGTCATCATAGGATAAACTCAGATAATAGAAATAGTGGCAGAAGTAAAGCTTCTCTGACGCAGCTAAGAGCTGCAGAGAAAGGTGGCTTTATCTTGAAACAGGTTTTGTTACGCACATGACAAATATGACCTTATGTAAATCATCTCTTCCTATCTGTGTTCTAAGTGACTCAACTTCAAAATCCAAACAATATTGCCAAACCCTCTATCAGTCTCATGACGAAGTGATAGGGAGCTGTGTCCTGGTAGTCAAGTTGAATTAGGCACTGTAGGAACCCAAAGATGTAAGTATTCCTAAAGATGGAATTTCAGAGGTATTTCTAAAAGTCACATTTCTGAAACTAAGGTCACTCCAATTTATTTACAGAATCCCTAGAATCATAGAATAGTGAATATGGAGGATTTGTTTATATCATTAATTTAGCTCACTCCCATGTATTTATAAAGAAAGAAGACAAAGCCTCCTGAAATGAAGGTGTGGTCTCAGAAGGTAATTCAAGGCACAACTAAGAAATGAGGGCTTCATCCAACTACTTCTACAGTCCTAGGGTCTTTTTACCACACCATAAAACCTTCTCACAATGGTTTCATGCACTGTTGTATGAGAAAGAATTATTTCAAAATTGAAAGGGAAGAGTTAACGAAAATGTAACCAATGTCGTATACCGATTTAAGTCTCTATTTAATCCATCCAACCGTTTACAGGGTGTTTGTTTTCCACAGAAAGCCACACACATCCAGGAGTTGCACACACTCATATTCAGAAATTACTATCTGGCGCTAGCATGTGTGGGTGGCTGGTTGCCTAAGCATGCGAAATTTCCTCAATTGGAAAGACACATCTTTGAAGAAAGCTGACAAACCTACTCCCATCTCATGTCAAACTGAGAACTGATCCTCAGTGATCATTAATGATCACATAGTCTGCCCAACCAAGAATCCACTCTTTACACAGTTGTAAGGATATCTCACTTAACACACAGAGGGAAAGTGACCCACTCAGGAATTCGAGGACTAAAAGATGTACTAAATGATTCATTTACTTAAAAAATTCTTCAGAATATTCTAAGAGGCACAGAGTCAAATTCAAAATGAAAACTGAGATATTTTTCCCTCCTGAATTTATGTTTAAAGGAAATGAACTTCACCTTTCTCCTTCTCAAGTATTATAATGTTGTTGCCTGCTATATAACTTTTACCTCTTGCTGTTTCACTGGGAGCTATTTTTGCAATGAAGGACAAGCTAGTTCTATATGCATTTCTGTACATGTTTAAAAACAAAAACAAAAGGCACTATGTTAAAAAAGAAAGCACATGGTTATTTCAAAGCCAGCTTGGGATGACTTAGCCTTATGTTTCATATTTCCATACACATCCAAAAGGGAACAACTTTCTGTTACCCCAAAATATCTTAGAATCACTAGATCTGGACCCCCAAAGATTGTACACAAGAAGGGACTAAGGCAATGTAAGCATAGTTTAGCTTTAAGATTTCTTTCACCTTCAAACTACACAAGAAACTCAAGACTCACTTCAGTTTCTTCCTCTATATGTTCCTCTATATGTTATCTTTCTCCAGTGGAAGTAATTTTCCTTCTCTAAGCTGTTATTAAATAGGATCTTTGCTGTCTTCATGTTAACTTATCATATACTATCTAGTGATATTTATTGTAAGTTTTCTCCCCTTCAACATTTTATGTCTTGCCTCTCTTTTGAAGCCTTTCCTGACCTCCTCAGGAAGGGGCCTGGCTCTCTCCTAAGAGTTTCTCCTGTGAATGGTACAAACTTGTATTACATCTTGCATAATACTTTCATTTGTCTTAATGTTGATCTCCCTTTCTGCCGGTCCCTTGAAGGTACAGACAAAATACCTTAACATCTTTAGGTCTTAAATCTTATAATACTTCACAGCACAAAATAAATATTTGTTTGATCACTTATTACCATAAACTCCTGCAGAGGTAGCCTTCCCTAATTGTAGGCTATTTTCTGGGTTTTTTGTTGTTGTTATTATGTAACTGTAACTATCCCTTTTACTATTTGTCATCCTCCTGAAGCAGCTATCTTTGCTTCGGGTAAGTCTCAATTTGCTTTATTGGCATGTGGATATCAACATTATTGGGGCTGCAGATGAATTCAGTCCTGCCAGATGTACAGAAAGGAAGCAGCAATGTCACAATAATACATGAAGCAGTCACTTCTTCAATAATCTAACAGGGGAGATGAGAAGCTTGCATTCTCTTTCTCTTCACACAAAGAACAAAGCTCATACCCCTGGGCTGGCCACATATCCAGAACAAAATGGTACAACAATGATTTTTCAGCCATCTAGGTTGATGAAACTTTTCAGCTGCCCAATGGTCAGGCATTTGAGTGGTAAGTAGGGGATGTAAAGCATTCTTCCTCCTTACTGGGGACACTGGCTCGTTCAAGAGGGATTTGCTGAAGAATCAATTCCCCAAACAGCTTGTTTTGTTTTGTTTTGCTTCCTTTGTATGTAGGCAGATTGTCTTAAGCTGCCAAAGTAGGAAATAAATGGCATTAAAAATGTGTTCCCGTGAAGAAGCAAATTGTTTCTTTTACCAGAATATTCATCAGAGATTTGTAAAATTTTGAAAACAACACAAAACCACCAGTGACTTTCTTGTGATTCTTCCCTTGGACTGCATCTAATTTCAGCTTCTTTCTTTCTGCTCTTTAAAATTGCTAATATCTGTAAGAGTATGCAATATCATGCCAGCTTTAATTCAAGTGAAGCGAAAATTAGAGGTAAACTTGCTGATTAAGTGGTCTCATATCACATATCACACAGAAGCTAAATGTAGACACTTAGATTTAAATTGTTACAAGGGCTCTCCAAAATTGCATTCACAAAACCTTCATTGGTATGCATGAGCAGCTGTCTCGTTATCCATTCCACCCAGTAGCAAGCTGGTGACTTCCTTATCAAAGGCTATATACATCGTGGACTAAGACTGTAATTGCCAATTGATAAAGCATTGATGCATTGACCACAAAATTGCAACCAGCGGACTCTTATTCATTGTGCTGAGATCAACTAATCTATTTTGACAATCAACCGTACACTCAATATTTGAACTTTTCTGTAAAGCCTGCCCTTACTCTGACTTGATGGTGTGCACATTCTCACCTAATCAGGTGTCATCCTTACCATAATTGAAGCACCTTCTCTGATACAGAAGCCAGCGGCTGGAGAATAAGACACATACAATCCAAATCTTCACAGGATGATTTGTAAATCAATCAACCCAACAAAATAGAGATAAGTATTTCCTTTCATTCACTCACTCTCAATATAAAGATTATTATAGGGTGAATGTTTGTGTCTCCCCAAAATTCATATGCTGATGCCCTGATCCCCATTTTGTAGGGTTAGAAGAGGTCATGAGGGCAGGGCCCTCACAATAGGATTAGTGTCCTTATAAGAAGAAACATCGGAGAGCTTGTTCAATATCTGTCTCTCTGTCGCATGTGAGGAAGGCAGCCAAAAAGAGTCCTATGTAGAAACTGAATCAGCAGTCGCCTTGATCTTGGGCTTTCAGCCTCTACAACAGTGAGAAAAATTTTTGTTGTTTAAGCCACCCAGTCTGCAGTATTTTGTTGTGGCAGCCCAAGATGACTAACACAAAGATACCGTTATATAAAGTATTATATGTACAAATACATAAATAAATATTAACATAATAGTTGTATTAAAGTAGGTATCATTGTATGGTTACATGTAGATGAAGATGCAGTTCCACATAATTAAGCACAGTTGCAGTTTAAGTCTTCAGCTGGTAAAATTTTCTCTGTTTAGCCCATTTGGAAAAGGTATTCCCTTTGGGAGACTGTTTAATAAGTCAAAGACATAACAGAAACAGTGTTGACCTCATTAACATAAGCTTCTTTCTCCTGTTTATAACTTGGTCATAAACCTTCATAACTGCTCAGTAAGAAAACCGTCTGGATGATAATAGTACTCAGAGGGGGAGTTGTTTGCAGATCAGTGAAGCCAGGCCACATGTCCCTCCACCAAAGAGCTGTAAAAGTGCTACTCTCGGTGAAAGCAAAACTCCTTTAAAAGTTATTAACATGTCAGGACCACTATGTAGAAAAGTATGTGAGTATACAGAATATAGAACAAAGAGATTTCTCTTTAAACATCTTAATCGAGCTAATCCAGGCTTTCTCACATATTACCTTGATTCTAAGATGTAATCAATTGCAAAGCATACCTTAGATTCAAATTAGCTTTTGGAGATAAATAGATAGATGATAGATAGATAGATAGATAGATAGATAGATAGATAGATAGATAGAAAGACAGACATAAATATGTATACAGGTGTATGACCGTGTGTATATGTGTGTGTATGGGTATACATATGTGTATATATATAGGTATACGTGTGTGTACATATGCGCATATGAATATACACATGCACACACCAATGTACACATTAATAGTGAGCCCTAACCTGATTATCATTATAAGGTGAAAAGTGTGTCATAAAATTCAGTAAATCAGTTACTTTTTTTTCAATTCTCTTTCTCCGTATATGTATATGTATATGTATATGTATATGTATATGTATATGTATATGTACGTGTGTGCTGGAGAAAAATGAAGAGAATAAAAGAAAACTTTAAAGTTTGCATTTGTTCTTGTGAACTCTAAAGTGTTTGTAAGGCAGAGCTCACATGCGAAGCTGCTCAAGGAATATGGTTTGCCAAAAAAATAGATGGCCACTGAAGGGGGGAAAAAATGAATGAAAAGTAGTGGTCTAGATGTGGCTATTTCTTCTTTCATCAAAAGCTTCTCATTAGAAAATGATAGTAATTTCAGTTTGACTTGAAAGATAAATTAAATACACTCTCCACATATTTCTTTTCATATTGGTTAAACACTTATATACCATTTTCTACACAACCCAAGCAACGTCCTAAAGTAAGAGGTGACTTCTTTTTTTTTTCTAGCTTTAAGAGTTCTTTTTTTATTATTATACTTTAAGTTTTAGTGTACATGTGTACAATGTGCAGGTTAGTTAGGATTATAAATCATGCTGCTATAAAGACGCATGCACACGTATGTTTATTGCGGCACTATTCACAATAGCAAAGACTTGGAACCAACCCAAATGTCCAACAATGATAGACTGGATTAAGAAAATGTGGCACATATACACCATGGAATACTATGCAGCCATAAAAAATGATGAGTTCATGTCCTTTTTAGGGACATGGATGAAGCTGGAAACCATCATTCTCAGCAAACTATCACAAGGACAAAAAACCAAACACCGCATGTTCTCACTCATAGGTGGGAACTGAACAATGAGAACACATGGACACAGGAAGGGGAACATCACACACCGGGGTCTGTTGTGGGGTGGGGGGAAGGGGGAGGGATAGCATTTGGAGATATACCTAATGTTAAATGATGAGTTACTGGGTGCAGCACACCAACATAGCACATGTATACATATGTAAGTAAGAGGTGACTTCTAAAATTTGATGAGTATATGTGTTCAAGTTCGAGTCCAGAATTAAGTAAAATTAATTATGAAGTATGAAAACTGCAAAAAATGCAGTACAAGCAAATGCCAATCACCTTCATATTGTTATTAATATCAGCATCACTAAGGGTGGACCAATCAGACCTCTGCTCCTTGTGCCTTACCCATGATGAAGTATTCTAAAAATGCCTCACTTGAACCTCATTGAGATTGCAAATCTAGCTTCCAGTTGACAGGAACAGCAGCCATCAGAGGAACAAGTTAAACAAAAAAGCAATCTGAGAAATATAGAGGATAGAAATTTCCATAGGATAATGACTTGGGTCAGCTCAAGAAATACATAGAATGGAAGGGAAGCGGCAAGGTAGGGTGTATGGATTCCCAGTGTAAAACTATTAAGATACAACAACCAAATGGTATCGGTGAACCTGAGCTGGATCTTTCTTTGAACACACCAACACTAAAAGCTATTTTAAGGCTAATGCACGAAATTTGAATATAGACAGAATATTACTTAATATTGAGGACTTAGTGAGAGAAATGCAGAGCAAGATGGCCAAAATAAACCATCAAAGGGATAATTCAGAGAATTATAACAGAGAATTTCCCAAACCTGGAGAAAGATATCAGTATTCAAGTACAAGAAGGTTATAGAACACCAAACAGATTTAACCCAAAGAAGACCATCTCAAGATATTAAATAATCAAATTCCCAAAAGTCAAGGATAAAGAAAGGATGGTAAAGCAGCAAGAGAAAGGAAACAAATAACATAAAAAGGAGCTCTGACCTGTCTGGCCACAGGCTTCTCAGTGGAAACCTTACAGGCCAGGAGAGCTGGCATGACATATTTAAAGTGCTGAAGGAAAAAAACTTTTCTCCTGAAGTAGTACATCCAGCAAAAATATCCTTCAGAACATGCAGGAGAAATACTTCCTAGACAAACAAAAGCTGAGGGATATCATCAACACTAGACCTTTCTTACAAGAAATGCTAAAGGGAGTTACTCAGTCTGAAAGAAAAGGATATTAAATGAGCAACAAAAAATTATCTGAAGGTACAAAACTCACTGGTAATAGTGCACAGAAAAACACAGAATATCATTACATTGTAATTGTGGTGCATAAACTACTTGTATCTCGAGTAGAAACACTAAAAGATGAACTAATCAAAAATTATAACTACAACAAGTTTTTAAGACATAGACAATATAATAAGATGTAAATAGAAACAATAAAAAGTTTAAAAGCAGGGGGATGAAGTACAAGTGCAGAGTTTTCATTAGTTTTCTCTTTGCTTATTTGTTTGTTTCTTTACACAATCAGTGTTAATTCTTCATCGGTTTAAAATAATGGATTATAAGATATTATTTGCAAGACTTGTGGTAACCTCAAATAAAAAACATACAACAAATACACAAAAAATAAAGAGCAAGAACTTAAAATATATTACCTCAGAAAATCACCTTCACTAAAAGGAAGATAGGAAGGAAAGAAGGAAGAGAAGACCACACAACAACCAGAAAATAAATAACAAAATGCCAGAAGTAAGTCTTTACTTATCAATAATAACATTGATATAAATGGATTAACTGTCCAATGAAAACACAAATGGCTGAATGTATTTTAAAAAGACCCAGCAATCTCTTGCATATAGGAAACACACTTCAGTTATAAAGACACACATAGAAATAAAATAAAGGGATGAAAAAAGATATCCTAGGCAAGCGAAAATAAAAAAAGAACAGGAGTACCTGTACTTATATCAGACAAAATAGATTTCAAGACAAAAACTATAAAAAGAGACAAAGAATATTATTATATAATGATAAAGGGGTCAATTCAGCAAGAGGGTATAACAATGTAAATATGTACACCCAACATTGCAGCACCCATATATTTAGAGCAAATATTAATAGTGATAAGGAGACAGATAAACCCCAATGTGATAATAGCTGGAGACTTCAACATCCAACTTTCAGCATTGGATAGATCATACAGATAGAAAATCAACAAAGACACATTGGACTTAATCTGCATTATAGATTAAATGGATCTAATAGATGCTTATAGAACATTTAATCCAACAGCTGCAGAAGACACATCCTTCTCGCCTGCATATGCATTATTCTCGAGGATAGACTATATTTTAGATCATAAAACAAATCTTAAAACTTTCAAAAAATTAGAAATCATATCAAGTATCTTCTCTGACAAAAATGGAATAAAACTAGAAATTAACAATCAGAGGAATTTTGGAAATTATACAAACATATGAAAATTAAACAATAGGCTCCTGAATGACCAGAGGATCAATGAAGTAATTAAGAAGGAAATTTAAAAATTACTTAAATGAAAATGAAAACACAATAACCAAAACCTATAGGGTACCATCAAAGCAGTACTAAGATGAAAGTCTATAGCAAGAAATACCTACACCAAAATAGTAGGAAAACTTGAAATAATCAACCTAACAATATACCTTGAAGAACTAGAAAATCAAGAGTGAAACAAACCCCAAGTTAGTAGAAGAAAAGAAATAATAAAGATCATTGCAGAAATAAATGAAATTGAAACAAAAAAGACAATACAAAAGTTTAGTGAAACAAAAAGTGGGTTTTTTGGAAAGATAAATAAAATTGGCAAAACTGGAGCCAGGCTGAATAAGAAAAAAGAGAAAAGGTGCAAATAAAATCAGAGATGAAAAAAGAGACATTACAACCAATACTGCAGAAGTTCAAAGGATCATTAGAGGCTACTATGAGCAACTATATGCCAAAACATTAGAAGACATGAATAAATTCCTAGACACATACAATCTACCAATATTAAACCATGAGGAAATTCAAAACCTGAACAGACCAATAACAAGTAATGAGATCAAAGCAGTAATAAAGTCTCCCGGCAAAGACAAGTTCAGGACTCAATGGCTTCACTGCTGAATTTTGCCAAGTATTTAAAGAACAAATACATTCCTACTTAAGGTATTAAAAAAAAAAGAGAGAGAGAGAGGAGGGTGGAATACTTCTAAACTCATTCTATGAGAACAGTATTACCCTAACACCAAAACCAAAGACACATCAAAAAGAGAAAACTGCAGGCCAATATCCCTGATGAATATTGGTGTAAAAATCTCAACAAAATACTAGCAAACTGAATTCAACAACCATTAAAATGATAATTTATCATGAGCAAGTGTCATTTATCCCAGGAATGCAAGAATGATTCAATATATGAAAATCAATCAATGTGATACATCATATCAACAGAATGAAGGACAAAAATAATGTGATCATTTCAACTGATGCTGAAAAAGCATTGGATACAATCCCACATCTCTTCATGATAAAAGCCCTGGGAAAAATTGAGTATAGAAGAAACATACCTCAACACAATAAAAGCCATATACAATAGACCCATAGCTAGTATCCTACCGAATGGGGAAAAACTGAAAGCCTTTACTCTAAGATCTGGGTTCGGACAAACATGCCACTTTCACCATGTTATTCAACATAATACTGAAAGTCCTAGCTAGAGCAATCACACAAGAGAAAGAAACAAAGGGCACCCAAAATGGAAAAGAAGTCAAATTATCCCTGTTTGGAGATGACATAGTCTTATATTTAGAAAAACCTAATGACTCCACCAAAAACTATTGGAATTGATAAACAAATTCAGTAAATTTGCAGGATACAAAATCAATATACACTAATTAGCAAAAATTCTGTATGCTAACAGTGAACAATTTGAAAAAGAAGTCAAGAAAGTAACGTCATTTACAATAGCTACAAATAAATTAAAACACCTAGGAATAAACTTAACCAAATAAGTAAAAGATCTCTACAATAAAAACTATAAAACATTGATGCAAGAAATTAAAGAGAACACAAAAAAAGAAAAGATATTCCATGTTCATGAGTTGGAAGATTCAATATTGTTAAAATAACCATACTACCCAAACCAGTCTACAGATTCAACGCAATTCCTATCACAATACCAACGACGTTCTTCACAGAAATAGGAAAACCAATCCTATAATGTATACAGAACAACAAAAGACCCAGAATAGCCAAAGCCATCCTGAGCAAAAAGAACAAAACTGGAGGAATCACATTACCTGACTTCAAATTATACTAAAGAGCTGTAGTCACCAAAACAGCATGATACTGGCATAAAAACAGACACAAAGACCAATGGAATAGAATAGAGAACCCAGAAACAAATCCATATATCTACAATGAATTCATTTTTGGCAAAGTTGTCAAGAACATACATTGGGGAAAAGATAATTTCTTCAACAAATAGTGCTGGGAAAACTGGATATCCATATGATGCAGAAGAATGATCTTAGAACTCCATTTCTCACAGTATACAAAAATCAAATCACATAAATTAAGGACTTAAATCTAAGACCTCATACTACGAAAGTACGAAAAGAAAACATTGGGGAAATTCTCTAGGACATTGGCCTGGACAAAGATTTCTTGAGTAATACTCTACAAGCACAGGCAACCAAAGCAAACATGGATAAACGGGATCACATCAAGTTAAAAGCTTCTGCAAAGCAAAGGAAACAATCAACAAAGTGAAGAGACAACTCATAGAATGGGAGAAAATATTTGCAAACTATTCATCTGATAAGGAATTAATAACAAGAATATATAAGTAGCCCACGCAACTCTATAGAAAAAAAAATCTAATAATCTGGTTAAAAAATGGACAAAATTGATTTACATAGACACTTCTCAAAAGAAGACATAGAAATGGCAAACAGGTATATGAAAAGGTGCTCAACATCGTCAATCATCAGAAAAATGCAAATCAAAAGTACAATGAGATGTTATCTCATCCCAGTTAAAATGACTTTTATCCAAAAGACAGGCAATAGCAAATGCTGTTGAGGATGTGGAGAAAAAGGAAACCTTGTACACTGTTGGTGAGAATGTAAATTTGTACAATTACTATAGAGAATAGTTTGGAGGTTCCTCAAGAAAATAAAAATAAAGCTACCATATGATCCATTATTCCACTGCTAGGTACATGCCCAAAAGAAAGGAAAACTATATCAAAAAGATACCTGCACTTCCATGTTTATTGCAGCACTATTCACAACAGCTAAGATTTAGAAGCAACTTAAGGGTCCACCAACAGATGAATGGATAAAGAAAATGTGGTTCATATACACAATGGAGTACTACGACTCAGCCATAAGAATGAGACTCTGTCATTTCCAACAACATGGATAGAACTGGAAGTCATTATGTTAAGTGAAATAAGTCATGCACAGAAAGATAAACATCACATGTTCTCATTTATTTGCAGGACCACAAATTAAAACAATTGGACTCATGGAGACAGAGAGTAAAAGGATGGTTACCAGAGGCTCAGAAGAGTAGTAGGGGGTGGGGTAGGAAGTGGGGATGGTTAATGGGTACAAAAATATAGTTAGAATGAATATGATATAGTATTTGATAGCACAACAGGGTGACTAGAGCCAACAATAGTTTATCGTACATTTAAAAATAACTAAAAGAGCATAATTAGATTGTAAAGAAAGGTTAAATGCTTGAGGTGATGGATACCCATTTACCCTGATGTAATTATTACACATTGTATGCCTGTATCAAAAGATCTCATGTAACCCATAAATACATACACCTACTATGTACCCCCCAAAATTAAAAAACAGAAATAGAAAAAATATTGGGGAATTAGAGTTAATATATAATAGTGGTGAAGTAGGAATATATCTATTTTTAGAGAAAGGCTTCTAAAGCATTTAGAAATGAAATATCATAAAGTCTATAACTTATTTTAAGTGATATAGCAAAATGGTATAAAGAAAGTATGGTAAAAGACACACAATTACTATATTTAGCTACTGAATACATGGGTGTCCATGATACCATTCTGTTTACTTTTCTATGTATTTAAATTTTTTCTAACTTTTTCTAACAAATGAATCTGTTAACCAACCAAGTTGGTTAACCATGTTGTTTTATAGAGGTGACATTGTTTCACCACTTAAAAAATATTAGATAAAATAATGTACATAAATGCAGCCATATATCTATTATTAGGAAATTATTTTGCAAAATAATTGTTATAAAACTTGAATCCTGTTTTATTTCCTACTTGATTTATCTTGTAAAAGTGTCAACATCTGGGTTCACTAATAAATTATTAGAACTTTCTCTTCTCTCAAAATGTTGTTGTGAGGATCAAATGGTAATGTTTTATAAGCTATACGTTGTGATACAAATGCTACTTGTATTAATAACTCTAGTTCTAAACTGGCTCTTGCCTTACAGTTAATTTTCTAATAACAATGAACACGCTCCTCCTCCACTTAGGAGTAGGAATGTATCCCTAGATTCAAAATTATAAACATTAACATCTTCAAATACATTTACTATTTTTCTGTTATCTGGCTAGGAAAGAAAGAGTAGTATCTTATTTCCAATAAAAGTTAACATATGCATGCACACATATAGTCATTTATGTTTATTGAAGATAATTCTCTCAGTATACGTTTTAATTTGTAACTCACCTTACATCTTTCCTGGTACTGTTAAGAGACCAGCATTGTCAAATCAAAAGAGATAGTTGTTTCTCTGAACTTACTGAAGCATCTGAGATGCTAGAGTCCATCTATGAAACCCTATACTTTGCAGGTTTTGAGGACAGCAAGCAGATGTTCAAACTTCTAAAAACTGGGAATCTCCTCACCAATCTCTGCTTCAGTTATTTGAACTACATCTTCTTTTGTTACATCATCAATTGAGATAAATTATTTTATATAGCTGCTCATGTGGGAACAGACTTAATACAAGTGACCAAGTTTATCAGAAATTATATTTTATTCTTGATGCATGGATAGGGCCTTTAAATGTTATTTTATGTTTTTTAAAAAAATAAGCAAATTACCAAATCATAGATGACTAGAACACATTAGCATGTAAAATTAACTATTAAAAGTTACAATGAACCACCAAGGGCTATTTGGAAGTTAGAATTTTTAAATGCAAGTTGTGATGATCTAAAGAGAAAATATGATGAATACATTATGTGCATGGATATTAAATTTTGCATTGGGCCAAAGTTTCAGGTACTCTTCTGCCCAGAATAAGAATCTTTAAAGATCTTATGCTTATTCAAATTATCCTACTCCTAGGTCCTATGAATCCAAACAAAGCAAGTAAAAGAGGTCTCTTGGGTAAGGAAAGCACAGCAAGCCCTCACCCCAATTAGTCTACAGAACTAATTGCAGGCCCAGCCCAGCCTTGTGCAAGCACACTAGAGGTAAGCTGGAAGACAGCCGTGGGCAGTGAGGGCCGGAAAAATTTCCCCTATATACCTACCCCTAGTCTTCCATAATAATAGCGTGGCATGGAGAATATTTGGAAAAATTCCTATCACCCAATTCATTCACCAGCCCAAGATGGGTACATGGGTTAGCTAAGAATCTAGAGTAGAATTTCCTGCCAGAGGTTGCCAAAGCAAGGGGGCAGAGAGGTCTCATAGCAGAGAATTCAGACTAAGTTCAAATCCAAGAGTCAGGTAGATAGTGTCATTGAACTTCAAAGAGTACCCTGAGAACTGAGATGGGGCATTTGGTCAGCAGATGGCCCAGCAACCTGCAATAGTCCTGGCATCCTCACTCAGAGCAACAAAAAATGGGCTGGCTCCCTCAGCAGGGAGTGCATAAGAGAAAGAACCTGATAGCCACAGCCCCAGGGACAGGATACACCTCAGCAGAGGCAAGAAGGACACAAGGAGCAGGGACAGTCTGCAAAGCAGAAACCTCCTCCTTGTTCCCGTGGAACTTCTCATTCTCCATCCCCACGTTGTCGTGGGGAAGAAGAGGAGGGAAGAATATTTGAAAAGGGAAGATGCCTTGATTGAGATTTTAAACTGACTTAGGAAACAGATTCCACTTTGGGAGAAATAAAGCCACCCTTCTGTACATTTGAGTTTTGCCTACAAATTTCAGTCCCATTATCAACCACCTAATACCCTGCTTCAAGCTCACGGAGGCATGCATTCTCAGCTCTTCAAGACGGAGAACTCAAAATGACTAATAAAGAGCTGAATTCTTTCACTTCTCTTCAGTGTGATTTTCACAGGGTAAAAAGCTTCCTCTTGATCCAGCTTCCCTGGCTTTTGGGATCATGTAAAATTGTCAGCACCTGCCATTTGAATGTGTTTTAGCACAGCAGGCTCATGAAACGTGGCAGCTGGAAGCAGGTGTGAGTTGGGAGCAGGGTTAGCCAGCTTCTAAGGGAAACCAAGGTTTTCCCAGGGAGGGATTTAAAGGCAAATGTACATTGCCACCTCCAGACTAAACAAAACCAGGAAACTGTTTTGACCCTGTCGCTCAAGAAAAGGAGAGTAGGGTCAAAGACCATCACAAAAACAAATGCCACAAAAAGATGACACCCCTATTTGCATCAACAGGGTGGGGAGGAGGAGCTTGACAATAGGGAAAAGCTGGAGATAAATAATACAGGGAAGGAGTGTAGCGGGATTTAATCATACAGAGCAACTGACAAGAAGATGGCATTAAGGACAAAGCAGCACTTAAGCCATGTACCTGAACTCGGGGGGGGAAGTTAGGCAGAGCATTATTTTAAAAGACGGTTTGTAAACATTTTTTTTGTGTGTGTTCTAACAAAATTTTAGTTCATCAACCTCAAAGATTTTGCTTCGGGTTTCCACGTGCAATATCACATCTCCCTAGACCTATCCTTAAGTATGTTTGTGAGTGTGTGTGTGTGTGTGTGTGTGTGTGTGTCTGAGAAAGAGAGAAAGAGATTTAAGCTGTGGGTATAATAGCTTATGTATCCTCAATGGTTAAAAGATATTTTAAAAATCATTGTTAATCCATACAATATTACCTACAAAATGCCCAGAGCAGAATACTAGAATTAGAGTATGATTCTAACAAGCAGAATCAGATACTAGGATTTCACAAACATCTGGTGTTGACCACCTATACACAAATTGATTTTTAGAGAAATGAAACTAAGAACTATTTCTCTAAATTTAAATTTAGTTTGCAAAGTCTGTTAGCATGGTATCATAATAAATTTTCCAAGATATCTGATCTGACTATAATTGAACCAGGTTACCTGTCCCCATGGCTTGCATATAGCTCCCTTGTTCTGGTTGGGACTATAACCCTAGATCTTTTGCCTCATATCAACTTGTGTTTCATTAATTGATGGAGTTCTGAGCCCTTCTCTTCCTGGCTTCTTGCCTTTCACTCAAGCCTGTGAAATATTCCTGAGGACTTTCCTCCTAGGAATGATGTGTGCTAGCTCCTCTAATTACACCTGTTTCTGATCACTCTGGATCAGAAGCCCACTCCAACCCAGCCTGCGAGACTTAGCAAGAATACATGAGCCCTTCCAAAGGGGAATGAAACACAATGTTTCTACCAATACGACCAGTAAGCTGACTTCTTAATTTATCTCTATGATCAACAAATGCTTTAGAGTCTAAATTCGCAGAAAAAGATCCTTCAACAACATCTCCATTATCAATAGGTTTGAATCTTCAAATTATTGTCAACATAGTTAGCAAGCCCTATCCATTTATCCATTCTTTCATTCACTCATTTGTTTACTATTTATGTTTTACTTTTAAAAATACAAGTAAAACAAAATAACAACAAAAAATTAAACTAAGTATCTCTTACGGGCTGGGAATAGAAATAGGCCTCAGGGATATGTCTAATTCAGATTTCAGAAGCAAAACTGACATTTTTCTATGTAGTGGGATTTGGAAGCATCCCCTGCCCCAAATATGTCCCTTTTTTATCCTACATTTTCTTTTTTATTGCCTACTTTTAGACCCCCCAAAAACAGGTTGTCTACCAAGGAATGGTAATTAGATTTTTCATCAGCAAAAAACAAAAAAACTAAAAGCTAATAACATAACCATGAAAATAGAATGTATAGAAAATTATCATTTACTTCTGAAGCATATGAAGAATTAATCACCTGCAGTCAACCCTATCTGAAAGAATTATTAAAACGTATACATCAACAAGAAGAAATTTGAACCCCAGAAGACAGTGAAGACTGGTGAGCACAGAAATTTATCAAACAAGTTGATACTTTAATTAGTTCTCAGTTGAGAAAAACAACTAATATTTGGAATTAAAACTTAAATGTAAAACAAAATTCTAGGTAAAACAAACCAATTCAGAGGAACATCTAGCAAAGAGGTAATGTATACTGGGTCTTATGTTCAGGAATAGAAAAAATATAGAAACACCCAGAGTAGTTAAAGATGACTCTATATATGCTTTGGAAGAAATTCTTTGATAGGTAAAAATTAAAATTTCTTCCAAAAATATTATTAAGCATAAGGGCAATATTTTTTTAACTCTTCAAATAGTTTCTATTCAATCATTCTTGTCTATTTCTCTGAGAACATATTGAGGTCAATTGATTAAATTGCAGCCAGGCACAGTGGCTCACCTCTGTAATCCCAGCACTTCGGGAGGCCAAGGTGAGAGGATCACTTGAGTGCCAGAGTTTGAGACCAACCTGGGCAACATGGCAAGACCCCTGTCTCCACAGAAAAAAAAAATTAATTAGGCATGGTTTTGCATACCTGTGGTCCCAGCTATTTGGGAGGCTGGAGTGGAAAAATCACTGGAGTCTGGGAGTTCAAGGCTGGAGTGAGCCTTGATTGTACCATTGCACTCCAGCCTAAGCTTGTCTAAACAACAACAACAACAATAACAACAACACCGCTATGAAATCACAATCAACTTCTAAGAAATCTGACCACTTTCTACTCTTAAGTGTTGTATGGCAAACTGCTGCTGCTGATTCCCTTTCTCTGAAACCATGTTGTCAAAATGTAGGTCTCAGAACATGAATAAAAGTCTAAAATTATCTAGGCTCCAAAGAGTTTTGTTTATACAAGTTATAGTTGTCGCTATTAACTTTATTAGAATTAAAACTAAAAAATGTAAACATATCCACTTATTTAAAATGAACAATATTACAAAAATATTTTATAAAAATAATTATATTTCCCGAAAGAAAAAATTTGTGAGAAAAGTGATGATCTTTTCCATTTTTGCAAATCTCTTTAATGTCTGACTTAATAGAAACAGCTGGGTTCACATATATGGTTCTGTACTCAATCTGTTGAGACATGCTTCTCTTCCTGAAGCATATGAACAAAATATGAATTCACACAGATAAATATTTGAGGAAAGAAGGAGGAGTACTTTAATAGCCCTTTTCAGATAATTCTAGGTATTCTTTTTTTAAACTACACCAAAACTCATTAAGTCAAAGTTCCCTAAAATTTAGATACAATGTGGAATCTTAAATCATAAGTAAACATTTTTATTCTACTACATTAAAATCCATTTGTCTACCTTGTACATGGAATCGTATTTTACTACACATGAATTCGTGATATCATGCATTGATATGTTAGAAAATATTGGTTACTGAGTTATGTCCATCTTCCAAATGTTCAATATGAAAGATATATTATGTTTCATTATAAAATATCAAAAAGTCACGTTTGTTAATACTGCCATTGAGTTTATCAGAAAATCATTAAGAATTAGAAAGTCATAAAGCTCATGGATACAAGTTTTGAAAACGTCCATTTTTTACCTGAAAGTTGAAATTTTATCATTGGCAACAAATACCATGGTCTTTTTTCTTGAATTGGCATTTTCAAGGAAATGTCTATCAAATGCATAACTCTGAAAAGCCATAGCTTGTGTATCAGTGTTTTCTTTGAGTAAAAAGAGTATTCCATGCAAAAAGCTGGTTGTTCAGCTCACAACTTAACCATAAGACAACATTTATACTTCAATATGAAGCAGAAATTCCCTATGGATACTTCTCAAGTTGTCACACAAAATATTTGTGTACTTGAGAGTGAAGATTTAATAAAATTATTGAATTGTATTGTTTCATTAAAGACGTCAAGAAAAACTTGGCTTTTTAATTAATTAATTATTATTATTGCTGTGAAAACTGCAATGGGCTCTCTTCAGTTTGGTGCTATTGTCTTGATTAATGTTAAGATACTAGAAGTTTTACCCGTTATTACTTTTTATTCATCATCACTGCAAATGTCAGCAAAGTGAAAAAGGCAAATAACACCTTAGAGTTGCTGTAAAAATAGTTTTGACCTATGGACCCCCTAAATGTGTCTTGAAGATTACTGGTCTCAATGGACCACTTTTGGGAACCACTGTCCTTAACAACAAAAAAGATGTCTGTGGACAAGGAGTATGTTTTTATAGATATTTGTTGAATGAATAGGAAAGCTCTAAGTGTGGGATTCTTTAACTGCTTTAAGAATGATGCACCAACCAAATTTGCTAGAATGGGTAATACTTTCCTGCCTAGGGCCTGTATGGGAGGGGCCCAAATTGGACTAGAGAAGTGATGGTGAGAGAAGGGAGATATAAGGAGCCAAGAAGTCTTTTGGCAAAAGTGACAGATTTAAAAAAAAGAAAGAAAAGAAAGAAAGAATGAGAATCAAAGAATCCAGGGGGAACTTGCGACAATGGAGAAGCTAAAGAAACAGCTACTTCTTTCAGGGCCTTTTATATTATCTAACGTGTACTTTAAAGTATTCCTGCACAGATTGTGTGCTATACTCAGGTTAGTTTTCATGTGTATCCTAAGGGCAATTAGTTAACATTTGGTGTATTCTAATTCAGATTACACACTACACAGTGTTAAGATTTGAGAGAATAATCAAGAGTCCACACTCCAGAAAGCGACCAACCTCCACTCTCCTGATGGCTTTAGCATCCCTGAAGTGTTTTATAATTACACAAGAAATAGCTTTTCATTGGTGAAGTGAGTTCAAGATTGGCAGTATGTCATATCAGTGCCTCTGCCTTTCCTGGACTAAGTATAAGGATCTGAGGAGAATGGCAACCTACAGCTCGGGGAAAATGTACCCTGGGCCCAGGCACTGGGTTCTATATTCAGACTCAAACAGATTCTGTCACCTCACTATTTACCTGAGTCATGAAGCTAGAATATTTCACATCTACCTCAAGTAAACCTTTACTCAAGGTTGGCAGAACACCTTAAAAGGATAGAAAGTCAAGACTTTATCAAGTTTAAAAAGGTTCTGCTATTTTTAAAAAAATAAAAACTAATTTTCTTGCCTGCCAGCTAATAAGAATTTGTATGTTTGAGAATTCAGTTGGAGACTTGCCTTCTGAATAACAAAGTTGTCAAGAAGGAAATCCCAAATCTTCATTTATCTCAAACAAACAAAGCTTCTGGTGATTAAAAAATAAAACAACAATAACAACAACAACAACAAAACCGTTAGAAAACCAACAGTTGGGGAAGAACAAAATTATTTCATAATAGAGGCTAGGAAAAAAGCTCTGAAAAAAGACAGAAAATAAGTGGCAGATACCAGCTGAATTAATGAAACAACTAGAAAACCAGACATTTTCAACTGGAGGCATGAAGTTTCTGTGCAGCAAGGGATTCATCTTGCACAAAGACAGGTTTGGCTCCTAGGAGGTAACCTCTAACACTTTAGAATGTCCTGCCTCATAAGAATGTGTTTGTTTACCTGTGGGCCTTGGGCCATGCCAGAGTCTATGTTAAAAATGTGATTTATGGTGAGGGAGTTTCAGACCATGCAGTGTCAGCTTAACCTTTGGAGGAGCTGAAGACTAAAGTCAGCCACCCGGGAGGTCAGCCAAGTCTCAAGGCTGAGCCCCAACAAAACTCCCGACACCAAGGAAGGGATGAGTTTCTCTGGTTGTCAATCCTTTTTATGTATCATCACACATCATTGCTGAAACTAATAAGTGTTATCCACACAACTCCACTGAGAAGACAACTAGAAACTCCATGCTTGCAACCTTCCTAGACTTTGCCCTATGCTCCTCTTCCCTTGGTTGATTGTAGTGTACTCTCTTGCTGTATAAAACATAACCATGAGTATAACAGCTCTTAGTGAGTTGCCTGAGTCCATCTAGCAAATTATTGAACCTCAATATGGTCTTGAGAAACCATGAACTTGCAGCCAATGTTAGATGTGAGTGACTCTTTGGGAGTCCCTCAAATGTGCAGTTAGTGTTAGAAGTGAGAGTGGTCTTGAGGGCTCCCGAACTGTGTTGTACTCACATAAGAAATAATACATTCCTCCAGAAATCAAAGTTACATAAAGGTAGTTCAGTCATAGAGTAGAACGGGAAAGAAAGTACAATAAAATGACCAGATCTTTCCCTGAAGCAACTGGAATCTAAGAGAAAGATCTAAAGAACAAAAGGATTGAAAACAGAAGGAACAAATTTAATACTTTAAACCTAAACTAAAAAGTACTGGGTAACATGAGATGCTATGTTCAATTTGCCTCCATTGCATACAGACAAAATCCTGAATTTCTCTCACATTTTGTGACCTTGAATTTTTCATGAAAGCAAAAGTATAAAGGGTGGTAAGAGTGGTAGAGTTTCCAGGTGGTAAAGCAAAGGGGTCCCTGACTCATGGTCCCTGGAAGGGACAGCTCCCCTTTTTCACCCTAAGAAATGGCAGCAAGCAGTTAGCTTCAGAGCCACAGCAGAGGAGGAGAAAAGAACTGGCTTTCAGCCAATCTAATGACCAAAATCTGCCTTTATCCCCATGTCTCAGACAGCCACACTCCTAAATTCACACTTTATGTAATGGCAAAACAGAATGACGAGTAAAAAAGGAAAGCCAGAGCCCTAAGGGTCTCAGCATGGCCAAGGTGTACATTTCAAAGTGAGAAGTGTTTGGGAAACATGGTATTTCTAACATCCTGGAGGTAAGAGTTATATAAAATCCCAAAGAATAAAGCACCAATTTATTTCCCCTTCAGGACATTCTGTTTTCCTTTCAACTGTACACACCAGCTGAAGAAGGACAGGTAGATGGGTTTGGGTAACCTGTTTTCTTGAAAGTTGAGAAGGCAGCCATATGCAGAGTGGCATCTGTTGTAGGCTCCAGCAGCCTGCTCCTGGCAACGCTGCTCCACGTCAGTTACAAGGGCAGTTTCTCTGAAATGAAAGCATGTTCCCGCCATCTAAGAAGTCAAGTGCCATTTCCCTTTCATTTTAGAACCCACTCCCCTTTCCACAAAGGCAAGAGCCCTGATACACTCTGAATGCTTAAGAATGATATATTCCAAACCCAAATAAAAATTTAGGAAGAATCATCATTGTTTCAACCTCTCTGAGCATCTGCTCTCTACAGTGATTTTTGGAGACCCAAAGAGACATTTGTGTCCCTGCATGATCCTCACATCTGTTTTATCTTCAACCGTTTCACCTTCATCAATTTGTCAATTCACCCAACAAGCCTTTGCTAAGTCATCAATAAGCCCCTAATGAAAATCCATTTTGCAAAGCCCCAAATTTACAAATCAGGAAAAGTGGATTTTTGTTTCATTAAAGAAGTGGGTCCACTTGATCATGGTGGGTAAGCTTTTTGATGTGCTGCTGGATTCGGTTTGCCAGTATTTTATTGAGGATTTTTGCATCAATGTTCATCAAGGATATTGGTCTAAAATTCTCTTTTTTGGTTGTGTCTCTGCCCGGCTTTGGTATCAGAATGATGCTGGCCTCATAAAATGAGTTAGGGAGGATTCCCTCTTTTTCACCCTGGGATGCAAGGCTGGTTCAATATACGCAAATCAATAAATGTAATCCAGCATATAAACAGAGCCAAAGACAAAAACCACATGATTATCTCAATAGATGCAGAAAAAGCCTTTGACAAAATTCAACAACCCTTCGTGCTAAAAACTCTCAATAAATTAGGTATTGATGGGACGTATTTCAAAATAATAAGAGCTGTCTATGACAAACCCACAGCCAATATCATACTGAATGGGCAAAAACTGGAAGCATTCCCTTTGAAAACTGGCACAAGACAGGGATGCCCTCTCTCACCGCTCCTATTCAACATAGTGTTGGAAGTTCTGGCCAGGGCAATTAGGCAGGAGAAGGAAATAAAGGGTATTCAATTAGGAAAAGAGGAAGTCAAATTGTCCCTGTTTGCAGACGACATGATTGTTTATCTAGAAAACCCCATCGTCTCAGCCCAAAATCTCCTTAAGCTGATAAGCAACTTCAGCAAAGTCTCAGGATACAAAATCAATGTACAAAAATCACAAGCATTCTTATACACCAACAACAGACAAACAGAGAGCCAAATCATGGGTGAACTCCCATTCACAATTGCTTCAAAGAGAATAAAATACCTAGGAATCCAACTTACAAGGGATGTGAAGGATCTCTTCAAGGAGAACTACAAACCACTGCTCAAGGAAATAAAAGAGGACACAAACAAATGGAAGAACATTCCATGCTCATGGGTAGGAAGAATCAATATCGTGAAAATGGCCATACTGCCCAAGGTAATTTACAGATTCAATGCCATCCCCATCAAGCTACCAATGACTTTCTTCACAGAATTGGAAAAAACTACTTTAAAGTTCATATGGAACCAAAAAAGAGCCCGCATTGCCAAGTCAATCCTAAGCCAAAAGAACAAAGCTGGAGGCATCACACTACCTGACTTCAAACTATACTACAAGGCTACAGTAACCAAAACAGCATGGTACTGGTACAAAAACAGAGATATAGATCAATGGAACAGAACAGAGCCCTCAGAAATAATGCCGCATATCTACAACTATCTGATCTTTGACAAACCTGAGAAAAACAAGCAATGGGGAAAGGATTCCCTATTTAATAAATGGTGCTGGGAAAACTGGCTAGCCATATGTAGAAAGCTGAAACTGGATCCCTTCCTTACACCTTATACAAAAATCAATTCAAGATGGATTAAAGATTTAAACGTTAGACCTAAAACCATAAAAACCCTAGAAGAAAACCTAGGCATTACCATTCAGGACATAGGCGTGGGCAAGGACTTCATGTCCAAAACACCAAAAGCAATGGCAACAAAAGCCAAAATTGACAAATGGGATCTAATTAAACTAAAGAGATTCTGCACAGCAAAAGAAACTACCATCAGAGTGAACAGGCAACCTACAACATGGGAGAAAATTTTCGCAACCTACTCATCTGACAAAGGGCTAATATCCAGAATCTACAATGAACTCAAACAAATTTACAAGAAAAAAACAAACAACCCCATCAAAAAGTGGGCGAAGGACATGAACAGACACTTCTCAAAAGAAGACATTTATGCAGCCAAAAAACACATGAAGAAATGCTCACCATCACTGGCCATCAGAGAAATGCAAATCAAAACCACTATGAGATATCATCTCACACCAGTTAGAATGGCAATCATTAAAAAGTCAGGAAACAACAGGTGCTGGAGAGGATGTGGAGAAATAGGAACACTTTTACACTGTTGGTGGGACTGTAAACTAGTTCAACCATTGTGGAAGTCAGTGTGGCGATTCCTCAGGGATCTAGAACTAGAAATACCATTTGAACCAGCCATCCCATTACTGGGTATATACCCAAAGGACTATAAATCATGCTGCTATAAAGACACATGCACACGTATGTTTATTGCGGCACTATTCACAATAGCAAAGACTTGGAACCAACCCAAATGTCCAACAATGATAGACTGGATTAAGAAAATGTGGCACATATACACCATGGAATACTATGCAGCCATAAAAAATGATGAGTTCATATCCTTTGTAGGGACATGGATGAAATTGGAAACCATCATTCTCAGTAAACTATCGCAAGAACAAAAAACCAAACACCGCATATTCTCACTCATAGGTGGGAATTGAACAATGAGATCACATGGACACAGGAAGGGGAATATCACACTCTGGGGACTGTGGTGGGGTCGGGGGAGGGGGGAGGGATAGCATTGGGAGATATACCTAATGCTAGATGACACATTAGTGGGTGCAGCGCACCAGCATGGCACATGTATACATATGTAACTAACCTGCACAATGTGCACATGTACCCTAAAACTTAGAGTATAATAAAAAAAAAAAGAAGTGTGTCTCTGAAATTGATGGAACATTTTCCCCATGCAAGAGATTCCTGTCACTTGACAAACTGAGTGTTCTGAGTGTTTTACCCATGTTGAGAATAGGCAGACAATATGACATCTGGGCTTGGGTAGAAATCACCATGCTATATGATCTGTCAAATGCCTCTTCACTTTAAGTAGCTTCATTTAGTTTAGTAATAATTCACTTTATTGAGTACATTTCTAGAACACGTATTTTCTATTAAGTAAGGTAAAGCCTTCCTTGGGTTCTTGACACCTGCTCTGATCTCCATTTTTTCCCTTTCTCTGTCATTGTGACACCTGCCCTTTCAAAAGCCTACAAGAAAATCAGATACGTTTCCTTATTCTAGATCATATTTGGATCCTATACTATTTCAGGAATCTAAAATATAATCACAGGATATCTAAGTAGGAAAGAGATTGATATCCTCTGTATTAGTCCATTCTCACATTGCTATAAAGAACTACCTAAGACTGGGTAGTTTATGAAGAAAAGAGTTTTAATTGACTCATCATTCCACAGGATGTACAGGAAGCATGGCTAGGGAGGCCTGAGGAAACATAATCATAGCAGAAGTTGAAGGGGGAACAAGCACATCTTCACACGGTGACAGGAGAAAGAGAGAGAGAGAGCAAAGGGGGAAGTGCCACACACTTTTAAACCATCGGATCTCATAAGAACTCACTCTCTATCATGAGAACAGCAAGTGGGAAATCCACCTCCATGATCCAATCACCTCCCACCAGGTCCCTTCCCCAACATTGGAAATTATAATTCAAAATGAGATTTGGGTAGGGACAGAGAAACAAACCATATCACCATCCATTCATCCATATAATTATTCTCAATTCAAAAATTAATCATTGAAGATAAAATGGTACAGAAGACTGTCATGGTCCCATCCCTCATGAAACTTAACATCTAATGAAGAAAATAGAAATATAATGTATTCAGAACCAATGTGATATTATGTTTTGATAAGGCAATTATGTGGTATCTTGGGAATATACCAGAGGCTTTATCACAGGAAGTTTACCAGAGGAAGTGATATCTAAGGGTGAAATCTAAAGACTGAGTAGGAGTTAACCAGGAAAAGATGAGAGGGGAAAATAGTCCATATTGGAGAGGTCAGAAGTGAAGGAACATGGCAAATTCTAGAAGTAATGGAGACTGCTTGGAAGAGAGTCAGGGAAAGAAGCAGGAGACTTTGACACTGTCTGGATGCTGAGTGACTTTGTGTGCTGTGCTGAAGAACTGGGAACTTATCCAAACAGCAGTGAGCTTTGACCGAAGGATGAACACATTCAGATTTAAATCCCTTCAATGCCTTACCAATGACTATAGGATCAAACCTAATCCCCTTAACTGGGCTAGTATGGCACTACGAAGCATAGCATGAGAAATCAGAGATCCAGTAAAGAGGAGCCTGAAGTTTGGAGATAGGAAATCCAGTTTGGGACACAGCATTGAACAAAGACTTTGTCACAGACACGCCACATAGGAACTGAGTTACCAATTCAAAGCATGACCAGCAGAAGGACTAGGTTGATCATGAATTTAAGACCTCCTGACAGGATTCCTCTCACTCCTTGTCCTAGGTAATAAGGTCTGGCATGAGGCTCAACCTACAATGTGGAAGACTCAGTTCCAATGATTAGAGGGATTAGAGGGATACAGGGTCATCAATTAATGATTCATTCATTTTTCCTTTAGTTCCTTACTGCATTTATTCATTCAATATACATTCATAGAGCAGGCCATCCTAGCAAAGCATCCATTTTTTGCTCAATAATTGAATACATATTGAATATGACAGAACACTTAGGAAAACCTAATACATGTGCAATACGTTTCAGGTATCTCTCTAAGATCAAATGCCTGGCACAATATCAGCAATAGACAAATAGATAACTAGCCAATGGTCGTGGCCAAAATGACCTGACTTTACTCACTGGGAATATTCTAAAATATAATGGCAGCGTCAGGATCAGTTTAACAATCAGTGTGTTTATTATGTATTATCTTATTAGCCTTTCAATCAAGGTATTTATCAAGCACTTACTTGTATAAGGCAGACTCAGAGCTGATGGAGGAGAATTAAAGAAGCCTGAGAAATTCTGCCCCTCATTTCATGAGACTATAATCTAAGTGTAAGCTGACCAAATATATACGATAGGAACGTGTAAGTATTGAAGGAGAGTCAACACCTGGGCGAGTGACTTTACAGTGGGCCAGGTTAGTCAGAAGAGGCTTTCTGGAGGAGAAAGGGAAATACTCAGTGCTGCAGAGATGGGAAGTTACAGAGTTTAGGAAAGACAGTCTGGCGCAACCGGAGATTGCTGCTAGTAAGATAATATCTTTTTGCTTTCTATTTATTTTCTTTAAGGAAGAAACATTCTGAAGCCACCTTTATGTTTGGTTTCTGATCCAAGCATACCAATAGCAACATTGCCACCCATCTGCTCCTGGGCCTTCCACCCTTTCCAACCCTCCATTATCATGATCAGCTCCAGCAAACTAATGCTCATTCTTTGGTAGTTTTGTTTTGTTTTTTCTTGGATGTGAATTAAATTTCTTTCTTTTTAAATATTCTTTTTATTAAATTTTACTTTAAGTTCTGGGATACATGTGCAGAACGTGCAGGTTTGTTACATAGGTATACATGTGCCATAGTGGTTTGCTGCACCTATCAACCCATCATCTAGGTTTTAAACCCTATATGCATTAGGTATTTGACCTAATGCTCTCCCTCCCTTTGCCTTCCACCCCCCGACAGGCCCCAGTGTGTGATGTTACCCTCCCTGTGTCCATGTGTTCTAATTGATCAGCTCTCACTTATGAGTGAGAACATGTGGTTTTTGGTTTTCTGTTCCTATGTTAGTTTGCTGAGAATGATGACTTCCAGCTTCATCAATGTCCCTGCAAAGAACATGAACTCATCTTTTATGGCTTCATAGTATTCCATGGTATATATGTGCTACATTTTCTTTATCGATTCTATCACTGATGGGCATTTGGGTTGGTTCCAAGTCTTTGCTATTGTAAATAGTTAATGTTCATTCTTTTATTTGTCACTACTCACCTGTTCTACTACAGTTTCTGAGATCAAGAAGCAGATAGGTAGGTGTTTTCCTTTCTCTCCTAAACAATTCTCAGAGGCCTCTGAGGTAAAATCATTTTCCTATAATGTCAAGTTCTGATGACCTTCAGGGGATCATCTTAGGGGACTTCTTAATGCCTTAGAGACTTTTAGATGATGGGGTGCTCTACCGGTAGCCTGAAATTTTCTTGATCTATTCTCATGAGGATACCACTCTCATGAACCAGTGAAATTAGGAACACTTTCTCAACCCTATAACTTCTTAGACGGCAGTTGTGACTCAAATGTACACATCAGTCAGATCTCTAGCAGATTCTGTATATTCATGTCTGTCAGACACCCACTCTGATTCCTAGTAAATACTAGTGTTGAACTCAAAATCACCTGAATTCTTTATTGATAGGTCCTCATCAATTACTCCTCCATTCATGCCCTGCAGAAGGCTATACTGGAGCGTATCCCGTTCTCATACTTCACTGCTACTGGGATCAAGTCTCAGTGCTGTTACCAATTCTGACTTGACATTTAAGGAGCATATCAACCCTGTTTGTTCTACAGCCTTTTACCTTCTCATGAATATTTCCTGAGCAACGCCTCTCACCTAACATGCAAACAAAGAGACATTAATATTTTTATCTATCCTGTCTCAGCATTTAGTGTTTACTATTTCACTTACACAGATTTCAAGATGAATCCACAAAAAGCAACAGCCAGATCTTTTGTTAAAAAATATATATATACACTTAGGAGCAGCACTTCTGTATTTCAGAACATTGCCAGTGGATCTCCTTAAAGAGTACATTTTGGATCATTAAGAACTCCAGGAAAAGAAAATTTATAATACCATTTTGGGGATAGAGTACAAGGAGGATAAAATTTAATGAACCTTCATTTTATGTAAATATAACAGAATGTTGGATTTATAGAACTGATAACATCATTTACTTTTATATAACCCAAGGTCCCAAACTTAAGGAATTAATCTGTTAAAGTTGTTGCTCTGTTAGACTAAGGGCCAGTAACTTTGTAAAATATGTACTCCAAGACACTAAGCCTGGGTAGCAGGGAGCAGACTGAAGTTAAAGCTGATGCAGTATAGGTAGCGGTCTTCTTATAAATGGAAAAAGGTGAGACCACTCTCAACAATTGTCACCCTGTAAATAAGAAAAGGGGCGTATAAGTTGCTCACTCTTAATATAGTTGTGACTTGTTAGAAATCTATCTTCAGGGGTTGGTCTTATAAAGAGAGAAGTCCCGGAAAATTCTGGGTAATGTCCTCTGGGGATATGAAAGGGAGGTAAAATCATTCTAAATATGGTTGAATCCAAGTGAAGAAAATAACATTGCACCAGACCCTGGAGCTGAGGGTCACATGAAGAAAGCTGGCAAACCAAGATGCAAAGGCTGAACATGGAGTTAAAAATGAGAGGAGCCAGAAGACCAAGTTAGAGGGTTATTCTAAGACAGCATATGGCAGGACTAAGGTGCAGGGCAGGGACTCCAGCTGCTTCACATCGTTTACCTATGTTTTAGCATGGTGCTAGTTAATCCGACATTGGATGCAAGATGAAACAACTGGCACACTCAAACAAGGGTAATTTAAAGAGGGCATAATATAGTAACTATTTATAAAGATGGAGGTAGGGATGTAGGAAAACTACAGGAATAGCAAAATAACTTGCTAGAAATAATAGGTCCACCATTATTCCTGGACCCCATGGAGTGAGACAAGGGAATAGTCATTGTTACTTAGAAAGAGACCGTGGTGAGACTGTAGACCTTGAGACCTTAGGTGGAGGAACACAGACAACCTTGAAGTGACTTCCCAGGGAGAAAGCTAGAGGAATAAACATCCAGATCTCAATATCCACTCCCCTCCAACCTCCTACCAGGGATGCCCACTGACTAAATCCAACCAGAAGCCTGAGGGCATGAGAGTTTGATTGTATAATTCATGTGAATCAGCTTCCCAATGCCTGGAGTAGGGTAGAGAATGGTAGAGAGTGAAGGCAGAAAATCCAGTCGAAGGTATCTGCCTTTAAGTAACAGACTTTCTTTAGAAAACCTGCAGCATGCCAAGGAAAATCAGCCCCAAGTATACCAATCCATGGAAGAAGGTTGGAGTCTCCAAAAACTTCTGAGAGTAGTGTTGAGTTCAGTCAGTCCAATGTACTTTGCTAAACAGTTAACAAATTTAATTCTGCACAGAGTGCTGGAAACTGAAGAGGCTTGAACAGAAGCATATGACATACTTCTTGTTTTTAAGGATTTTACAATCTAGTTTTTTAAAGAAGTATTTGTTGAATTCCTAATATATGTTAAAGGACACAGAGATATTGCATCTATGCATTCAAATACATATAATAGTAAAAGATTCACTTGAAAACCTTAAAGAGTAAAAGAGAGATAAAGAGAAAAAAATTATTAAATGATGTGATGCCAACTCTAAGAATATTATGAATTCATAAAAAAAGAATAATACGTGCACAGGAAGAAAACATTGGCAATTCCCAGACACTTGTCTAGATCCCTTATAAATTTCTGGGAGCTCCCGCTGCAATAGCAGCACTTTGAAAAGCTACCTATATTTAGCAGGGCATGAAGCTCACAGTCAGCTCTGCCCACTTCATCACAGGTTGCATAAATTTCTTCAAGGTTACAGCTAGTCTGTCTTGCATCTTTGTGCAAACTAGAATAAAAGACATCTCAGAGTGTGAACCAGTTAGCAAATAGCACCTCTTTCAGGAGTTGGGGAGCAGCCACATGCCAGGGCACCTGGCTTGGCACCCAGAGGGCAGTTGGATTTCAGTTCCCATTTATGCCCCTTGGCTGGGCCTCTGAAGCACAACCTGCATAATCATAAAAGGCACTCTGCATTCACTCACTTGAGAAATATGTATCCAGTACTTATTACATACCAAGATGAGAAGTTGCTTTGCAATATTTTAGTTTTCCAATCTGGCTAGGAAGGGTACCAAACAGCTGTGGTGTGGGTAGGCCATAAGCCAAACACTTGAGTTAATCCTAACAGAGATTGCCTCAATGTACAACTAACTATTGGCTTCCAGAAGCCAGAGGATAAAAGAAGCTCAACAGGTCAATGAGAATAACAGTAAATGAGTTGTGCTCCCTTGCAAAGCTGACTCCTCCTTCCTTTTGTGGTGGACACCATTTTCCCACAATGCTATTTCTAAATTATGAAGCCATGTGCTGCTTGGAGAAATTTTGTTTGCTCTCTCTTGCTTTGTATGAACCTGCCACATTCCTCTTTTTAAAACATACTTTGGAAGTCTCCCAGATATAAGTGTGGTGTAGTCAAACATCCTGATGTGGGCCATTGGGAAGCAATTGAAAAAAAACATGCTACAGACAAGAAATCCTGCCATATGGGTTCCTAAAACATTCAGTGGAATAGGAGACTGCAGGTGAGTTTTTTACATCTATCCACACTGCTGATTTAAGCCACACTGGGGCAAGACTTCTCTATGCCTTCATTTCTTCATTTATATAACACACTTTAATTAGGTCAGTCAGGTCTCCTTTAGTGTTAGCTTTGGTTCTCATATGATTAGAAAAAGAAATAGTGATTTTTACAAAGAGGATGCCAGACTTTCTATTTTAAGTATTCTCTTAGGATGTCTGTACAGTATTATTGTCACTTCTTTAAGCTCTGTCCCCAGTCTCCAAAATTAGGCATCCCAATGTCATCTCTTCTATTTTTCCCACAGTTGAACTTCTCCTTCTGTGACTTCTATAATCCCCCGGTAAAATAATTTTCCCTCTTGCCCTCTAAGCCACCTGCTAATTGGCATGTGATAGAGCATCCCACCTGTACGATACCTCTCTCCTGCTAATAAATGACACAAATTAAAATGATCACACTTATAGTATATTCCACTTGAGATTAAATAAGGGAATGTTTTATTCTGTGTAAGTATCTTCCAGCTGTAGGAAGAAAATGTTAATCAGACATTAAAGATGCCAAGAAAAATAAATTCAATATGTAAATAGCTACTTTGAGTAATTAGCTATTTACTATTTAATAAATGCTAAATAAGCTCTCTCAGTTCACTGCAACCCTGGAGAAAAAGTACTTTGAAGGGCACCACAACAGGTTAGTGTTAACAAGAGCCAACAGACCCGATGAAGCACCTAAAAGTTTAATCAGGTCTTTGTGGCAGTAAAAGATCCCAGCATCAGAACTTGAGGCAAATAGCTTTGGTCTGCCCATCACGAAAAGCTAGCTCTTTCACAGCGGGCAGAATGAGGTCATCAAATACATGGTGACCACAGACACCTTTTCACTTACCCCAGCTGCTGAAGGATCAATGAATGAATTTGAATGATGGCACCTGATCATTACTCAGGTATGAAAGGCAAGCTTTGTCTGAGTTGGTCAGTTTACCTAGACTCACCTTACTGTTTGGACCCTGACATTTACTGGGGTTTCCCATCAGGAAATTGCAAACAAATGAAGCAAAACAGAGAACAACAGCTAGACCAGGGCCTTATTACATATGGAGTAGGCTGGAGGCAGAATCACATTGGCCCATCTCTGTGTCAAGATCTCAGTAGAGATGAAGACCTGCCTCTCTGTGGATTTCCCCAAGGGGGAAGTATTCTGCATTCGGTGGTCTCTCCAAAGTAGACCCCCTACTGAGTACCTCCCTTCATCAAAAACCAACGTTGGTGCCAGGCATGGTGGCTTATGCCTGTGCCAAGGCAGGAGGACCATTTGAGCCCAGGAGTTCAAGACAAGCCCGGGCCACATAGTGAGACCCTGTCTCTGCAAAAATAATTTAAATATTTCCCACGTGTGGTGACACACGCCTTTGGTCCCAACTACTAGGAAGGCTGAGGTAGGAGGATCGCTTGAGCCCAGGAGGTCCAGGCTGTACTGAGACATGATCAAGCCACTGCACTCTAGCCTGGGCAACAGAGCAAGACTCTGTCTCAAAAAAAAAAAAAAATCCATGTCAGTGTCTAATAAAGCATGCAACTTGCAACTCAGAAGATGTTTGTGTGCTAATCATGGAGCTAATATATGTCTCTTTTGCTTCTTATATTGTCTTCTTGGAAGAAGTACATAAAACAAAATTAAGCCAAACTAATTACTTTTCTCCTTTAAACAACTGTGTGTTTGCTACTTGACTTTAGAACTGAGAGCACTAGCTTGAAAAAAAGTTTTATGTCTTTCAGGCTCTTGCTTTTCCTTCCCTCTTTTAGTTCCTTCACCTGGTACCATTGGACTCTCCCAGCCCCAAAGCTGTTATTAGGAAACCACCATCTTACATTGTAAAGTTGCACTAAGACTTATCTCCAAGCGTGGAATAAAGAAACTTAGATGACAGCATGTACACTGTTGAGACTCCCAAGCCCAAGTGCCATTGAGCTCAGCTTCTGTCTCAGGGACCTCCAACTGCAGATAAACAGGTACAATTATGGTACTCACTTCATAGATCTGTTACAAGGATAAAAAAGACTTTATACACACGAAGTATACACAGGACTTAGAATGGTGCCCAGCATAGAGTAAGCAATTAGCATTAGCTGCCACTGTCTTTTATTTTTACCACTTATAAAAGGAATTGCTATTAATTATCAGAAATTAGAGGAATAGAGATGAGTAAAGAAAACAAGTAAAACCATGACCATTCCTAACATCCAAATATAATCCATTGTCAGTATGTTGGTATATTTACCCTTAGTGTACATATACATATATTTAAACAAAAGTAGTGCAGTACTATATAATTTTTGTTTTCTGCACTTTTTGGGTAATATCATGAATATTTTCTTATGTTTCTTACTCTTCTTCAAAAACATGATTATGATGAGTGTGTTATATGCCACAAGATGGCTATAATTTATTTTACTATTTCTCAGCTGGCTACTGAGCTTCTGGCCTACTTCTGTGCTTTGAATGACAGTGTCCCTTCCAAAATTCATGTGGAAACTTAATCCCTGATGCTGCAGTATTAATAGGTGTGGACTTTGGGAAGTGATTAAGTCACGAGGGCTCCACTCTCATGAATAGGATTTGGTCCCCTTATTAAAGGGGCTTGACAGAGGAAGTCTATCCCTTTTTACCCTTCAATCTTCCACCATGTGAGGACACAGCATTGGTTCCCCCTGGAGAATGCAGCAACAAGGCACCACCTTGGAAGCAGAGAGAATGGCCCTTATATGACACCAAACCTGCAAGAACCTTGATCTTGGGCTTCCCAACCTTTAGAACTATGAGAAGTAAATGTCTATAAATTACACAGTCTGAGGTATTTTGCTACAGCAGCAAAACTGGACTAAGGAACTAACTACCACAAATAATGCTGCAGCACATAGACGTGACTGATAATTTTTGGTCCACTTCTGGATAGCCTCTGATATAGAAAGTGAGATTTGAGATTACTTTCTGGTCATTGCTATGAACAGGCCCTTTGTGATCAAGGGATAGTGGTCCAGTTTTTTGGTTAACACACATCCTGGTCATTCAGCTAGAAGCCGGGGTTGGAGACAGGATTGGAGAGGCAGGTTAAAACACCTTCCTAACTTCTTTCAGATGCTATGAAGCCAAATATTACCAGGCCATAATATAGTTATATTCCACCTTCTTTGACCTAAGAGTAGAAATTCATTCTAGATTCTGCTACAGTTTTCTGTATTATTTTTGTCTTTTTGCCCACATTAGTATTTTAGTGGACAATTGTGAGATGCTGTATCAGGAACTGCTCGTTGATCTCTATTTTATTTATAGTTCTATATGTTATTTATAATATTTAATTATGTATTTGTAATACACAAATGTGCATAATTACACTAATTGTACCTCTTATTCCTGGCATACTAGCATTATCAACTGTTGCGACATTCTCTCTCCCTTTCTCTCTCTTTCTCTCTCTCTCTCACTCGCTCTTACTCTCACTCTCCCTCTGCTGCATTTCATATCCAATCCCACTTCCCTCCCCTTCAGCATTCATTCTCAAATATTTAAGGTATGTCTATTCATTCTACATTTCAGACCCTACTTCCTTATAAGTGTTTCTATGAAAAAATATAGCATTATATTCTGTATTTTTAGATGTATATGAATTTTATTTTGCTACTAATTTCGTATTTCTCATCTTTTATCATTGTAGCATTATGTATTTGAAATCTATCCATGTTTTCCTATGTAAATGGGGGTGTAGTAACTACGCAGTGTTTACTAAATGACTCTACTGTTCAGCTGGTCAAAGATTTGTGTGAGGCATGAGTTTAAAGAAAGCTCCCACAAAGGGGGAACCTGGGGAAACTCACTTTCTTAAAGGCTGAGCTAAAAACCAGAACATGGCTATTGAACCCTCAAGGCCTGTACATGCAGAGTTAGCTTCTCTGTAACAGTGTTGGCTCTTGGCTGGAGACCTCGGCTGGGTCCCAAGCATTCCCATGGTTGCTTCCTCTGGTTTGCTCTTGAATTTGGCTGCTTTCCTTTTTCTGAACTCAGCTCCTTATGGGATGAAAGAGGAGGGTGCCTGGTCTCTCAGACTTCAAAGAGCTAAAACTTCTTCCATAAGGTCTTCTGAAAACTACGTGAAGCCCATGATAGCTTGTGACAAGTGGGAGCCTCACTTTCTTCCTAAAGAAGTCTTCTGTATACAGTCATTCCTCCTGTATACAATCACTTTTTGTGCATTTTCTACACTTAACTTCCCTGTTACTCATGAGATGGTAGCTTGGGTTGTCTTCAATTCTACACTACAATCTGTAGTAGTTCAACAAAGTACTTCATCTTTGTACAGGTTTTCTTACAGAAAAATATTTGTAAAGGTTTTCCCTGTAGAAAAACCTACAAAAGAATTGTTGAAGCACAGAGCATTTTTAACTTAATTTCACAGTTATATTGCACCTCAACAGGGCTGGACCAGCCCTCGTGACAATCAGCAGTGATGGATGATACTGGTTTCTCCTCATGCTTGTCAGCACTTGATATTGTCTGAGTTGTTTTTTGCCAATCGCATAGACACAAGTTGGTGTTTTATCTTTATTTTCACTTCTTTATCAGTAAGAATGAATGTCTCTTCATGTATTTCTCAGCCATTCAGATTTCTGTTTTGTAAATTGATTATTTATTTTGCCACATTATCTATAGAATGTTTTATCTTTCTCTTGCATATTTTAGAATTATTTCTTATATATTTTATACTAATCTTCAACAGAAATGTTGCAAATGTCTTCTTGCAACCAAGCATCCAATTCTAATTTAAATAATTCATAGCTGCATACTATTAAAAGAATGACAGTGGCTGGGTGCAGTGGCTCACACCTGCAATCTTAGCCGAGGCAGGCAAATCATTTGAGGTCAGGGGTTTGAGAACAGCCTGGCCAACGTGGTGAAACCCTGTCTCTACTAAAAATACAAAAATTAGCCAGGTGTGGTGGCACACACCTGTAATCTCAGCTACTTGGGAGGCTGAGGCAGGAGAATTGCTTGAACCTGGGAGGTGGAGGTTGCAGTGAGCTGAGATCGAGCCGTCCAGCCTAGGTGACAGAGTTAGACCCTGTCTCAAAAAAATAAAAAATAAATAAAAAATAAAAATAAAAGAATGATAGTTAGAGGAAGAGTTGGGATTGAAAGTAGCAAACATGAAGTTCTTTTGTTTTCTTGCCCTTTTCAGCCAATGAAACCACTCCATTCTCCCATTTCTAGGTTTCATCTTTCAAACAGGAAATAACCTGTAGTACTGTTTAATAACTCATAGCAATAGTAATAATGGTAACAGTAATGTTGAAATGAGGTCTTTATTGCCAACATCTTGCAAAAGAAAAAATCCACAAATAAAAAATAAGTACATTTATTTTGTGTATATGATGACTTTTTGATGATACAGGACCAGAAAGCATCTGGATTTTTCCATGTCATTTGTGTTCATACATAGTAATTATTTTTCCTCATATCTATTACTTTATGTATGTGTTGATTATTTTCCTTCTATTTCTACTTTCCTTGCTCTTTAAAACCTTGGTGTTTGAAAATATGGTGAACTGACAAAGGCACATTAAACCTTCATTCCCCATGGCCTGTCACCACTCTGGGAGGAGGGTAAGCAGAGTCAGAGGTGTCCCAGGAGCAGGGAAGAGAACCACACATAACAGCAGTTCAGGACGGCGGTAGCAGCATCGCATCGGCTCCATCTTTACTTGCACACTCAGGCCCTGCAAATATTTCAGGCACACACGTGGTGTAGTCTACATCAGAGTGACACTTGAAATGGTTTGTGGAGGGCTACTGAACAGAAATGTAGACTCTTGGCTGGGCACAGTGGCTCACCCCTGTAATCCCCAGCCAAGGCGGGTGGATCACCTGAGGTCAGGAGTTCGAGACCAGCATGATCAATGTGGTGAAACTCAGTCTCTACTAAAAATACAAAAATTAGCCAGGCATGCTGGTGGGTGCCTGTAATCCCAGCTACTCTGGAGACTGAGGCAGGAGAATCGCTTGAACCCAGGAGGCGGAGGTTGCAGTGAGCCAAGATCACACCACTGCACTCCAGCCTGGGCAACAAGAGTGAAACTCTGTATTAAAAAAAGAGAGAGAGAGAGAGAGAAAGAAAGAGAGAGAGAGAGAAGAGTGAAAGAGAGAAAAGTAAAGAAAAAAAGAAAAAAGAAGAGAAGAGAAGAAAGAAAAGTAGACTCTTTAGACCAAAAAACTTCAAAAATATGAGCATAAAAACTGCTCAGGAGATGTGTGAGGGGGTGGTGGTAGATTTTTTTTTCCACTAATGAGCTTTCCTTTCATGTGTATTGGAAGGGGTATAAATTACAGTGATAATCCTGGCTATTTAATACATCCCTGCCCTTTCTTATCTGTAGGAAATAAAACAGTTTACTTGACTCAGGGTATGTTAGCCTAAGTGATTCTGCTCTTCCTGGTGGGATGGTTGGCCTTAGGGGACTCACATTCTCTCCATTCTGAAAGTCTGCAGCCCTGTGGTGAGCCCTTCCTGGTCTAGCATTCCCTATGACTGAAGAGATGCTTTTCTAATTCTGGGGCTCAGCATTAGAAGGCAGACTTGCCCACAGATACAAACTACCTCTTCCAGCCTAAATCTTGAAAGCACCTGATGTATTATTTTGACTTCTTTTTCTTATTTCTCAATTGATTTCTAATTCATGAGGTGGAGAGGGTTTTTGAGGCTTCCAACAAGAATAGGGTGTGTTAAACAATATAGGCAATGAGGCGTTATCCCCAGATATTTTCATGTAGTAGATCTTGAATGGAACAACCCCTAGACATCTTTATTTTTAACAAGATTTGCAGGTAGGACGATAAGAGGTTCCCAGTGACTCTGGAAATGCATTGTTTTAAGTGCATTTAGGAGTTGCTGTTAATGCCTCAGCATCAGGAAGATTTTAAAAAACAATTTTTCTAATTCATTGGCATTTTATTTTTTATTTAATTCTTTGTAGCTTTTATATAGTAAAAATTAATATTTATTGAGTGGTTATCTTTCATCAGTTACACTGCCATGAGCTTTAGATATATTATTCCAACCCTTAGAATAATCATAAAAGGCATTTTTTAACTCTGAATTTTTCCAGCTGAGGAATCCAAGACCCAGAGAAAATTAGTGACTTTCCTAGGACTTTATAGACCTCTACACAGCAGTTCCAAGGTTTGGACCCACATCTGTTTAGTTCAATGTTTTTCCACTACACTATTTTGCTTTCTCATTTAAACCCATCTGTACACATGAAATGACCCATTAATCAGTGGCTCCGAACGTTCCTTCCTACCTTTCAAAATGTTACCAAAAGTTTCAGTTACATTGCAGTATCAAATTTTTATCCCTAGGTCATACTGGTATTTATGGCATTCTCCAAATAATGCAGTGTACCTTCATTGAGAAAGTGCATGGGTGAATGAAAGGGAGATAAGCATGTGTGAGTGGACCCCATAGTCTCTTCCCAATAGCATATGATAATTAACAAACAAATCATGGCTAGTTTTTATTACCTCATTTTCTTTGTAGACATCAAAAGTAAAAGACATCATTTGGATGGTGTAATGGAAAGAACACAGAGATTGGAGTAAGCCTCCATAGCTTTTAAATTTATCTCCTTTACTTTCATTATTTTTTTTGCATGAAGGGGACAGGGTCTCACTCTGTCACCCTGGCTGAAGTGCAGAGGTGCAATCACGACTCACCGCAACCTCCACCTCCTGGCTCAAGCCATCCTCCCACCTCAGCCTCCTAAGTATCTGGAACCACAGGCATATGCACACACACACAAGTGTGGTGGCATATATGTATAATATGTATATATTTATATTTATATAGAATACATATTTATTTATTTAGTAGACATGGGATCTCACTATTTTGCCCAGGCTGGTCTCAAACTTCTGGGCTCAAGTGATCCTCCCCCCTCAGCCTCTCAAAATGCTAGAATTACAGGCATCAGCCACCAAGCCTGGCCCTCCTTTACTATCTAGGAAGTCATTTATACCAGCGGTACCCAACCTTATTGGCACCAGGTACCAATTTTGTGGAAGACAAATTTTCTATGGACCAGGAGGGAAGATGCTTTTGAGATAATTCAATCACATTACTGTTACTGTGCACTTTATTTCTATTACTATTACACTGTAATATATAATGAAATAATTATATACTCACCATAATGTAAAATCAGTGGGAGCCCTGTGCTTGTTTTCCTGCAGCTAGACCATCCCATCTGAGGGTGATGGGTGACAGTGACAGATCATCAGGCATTAGATTCTTATAAAAAGCATAAAACCTAGATCCCTCACATGTTCATTTCACAATAGAGTTTGCACTCCTATGAGAATCTAATGCCATCCCTGATCTGACAGAAGGAGGAGCTCAGGAGGTAATGCACGTGATGGGGAGTGGCTGTAAATACAGATGAAGCTTGCTCACTCACCTGCCGCTAACCTCCTGCTGTGTAGCCTGGATTCTAATGGGCCACAGACTGGTACTGTTCCATGACCTGGGGGTTGGGGACCCCTGATTTATACTGTTTAATGTGAGGTTTCCTCAACCATAAAATAATAGAGTTGGTCAAGGTCAAGGGTATGTATTGCCATTTCTCCACCTTCATCCATGGAAATGATTACTAACTGATCATGACTAGTTTTTCAGTTGACCCTCAGGAGGAAAATCTACTCAATCCAGGGCTCTAGAAAGCTACAACCAAAGAATTAGAGTTGGCCAGCAATCTGAGTCTTATTTGCCACTGCTAAAATAGATCATGCCTACAGTCTTTCCACCTTTAAGTCTAGGATTGACCTCAGGGGAGAAGAAAGAAATAGTCAAAATTAAATGAAAAACCCTAATTCAGAGCTTAACACATATTTGAAAGGGACATATAGGAAGATTATGTTATTATAATAACTTGTGTTTGGACGTAGACCATTTCATATAAAATTTTCATAACCAGTGATGTTTCTCCCTATCTGAAAATATGTAGCTTGATCTCTAAATGAGGGAAAAAGTATACGTCTTCTTCCCTGACGTCTCTCATTCAGGTGTATGATATATTATAAGCAACGTCCGCAGAGTATTTGTTGTGAAATCTAGAAGAGAAGCCCTGCAATAAATATGATTTCATATTTATTGTTTCAAAGCCAGTTTCAAAGCCCCTGGGTAAGGAAGGACCAAACAGCTATATCTCTGCCTTAAGGCAGGTGGGGTAACCACCATAGGGGCGACTAGGGCCTTGTTAGTGAGAGAATGTCAGACTGCTCCCCAGCTATCACAGTCTCTCTCTTCTCTCTCAGTCATCCCTTCCTATAAATCACAACTCACCAGTCCAGATCTTCAAGCAGAGATAACCTCAAAACTCAAGAACCATCTTTAGATAAATGAGGTCTCAGGCAAATGTCTGTCAACCAGGCAGATACCCCAGCAAACTATTATTCCCACCAGAATTAAGAATCCCTGCTGAGAGCCAAGCACAGTAACACATGCCTATAGTCTCAGCTACTCAGGATGCTGAGGCAGGAGGATCACTTGAGCCCAGGAGTTCAGGGTTGTAATGTGCTATGTTCACACCTGTGAATAGCCACTGTTCTCCAGCCTGGGCAACATAACAAAACTCTGTCTTCACACACACACAAAAAAAATCTCCCTTGCTCAGGGTATCTATAACATTAAATGATCCAGCTTTCTGAGTGATATTACTTGTGTTTAAATCCACAGACACTTTTGTTCACCATCTGAGAATCTAATTGACATATTTTTAAAAAGTTATTTCTAAACTTCTCCCCTCCCCACCCTTATCTAACTGATGAAAACGTCTATTACACATTCCAGTTCGGAGTGCCTCCCTTGTGATACATATTTTCCCTTTGCTGATAATATAAGATTCCTGCCACCTGTGACCTAATAGGTTTAAGTTGTTTATTTGCTAATCAAACTTAAGCTCCCTCCTACTTAGCCCTGGACTTGACCCTCAACTGCCTCATATGCTAGAGTCTAATAATTTCCCCTGAGTTCCAGTTACAGTATGCACCTGGTGTTTCCTTGATTACCAGAAGCCTTCCTAGCAGTCTATGTCCCGCAGCTTCCTAGCTACAATCCTGCACTATGTCCAAAAACTGGGACACAAGGTGCTTTAAGGATGAAAGTCAGGTATTCACAAAACGTAGAATTCAAGAACTCCCTGCCCTTCCCTGCCACACATATCCACATAGAACGCCTTGTGTGTGCTTTCCCTGACAGTTTGAAAGGGCCTTTGAGGTTTAATCAGTAGATAGTGGCAAAAGGATAACACGGTGTTCATAGTGGGAATTCTTATCTCAATGCTCCTGCTGGCAGAACACCAAAGACTGCATGCCTTGCAGTTTATTTAGCTGTAAGGAATAGGGGTCAGAACGATTCTTGGATTACTGTATACAAAAATACCACTTTTTCAACTCAAAAGTGATCTCTAGGCAATATGTAACAGCAACTTGTAAGAAGTTCAGGGTGAAATATTTCTTTTAAGAGAATACATTCCCTTCCCATCTAATTCGTATTATAATTCCTGAATTATTAATCTTGGTCCTTTTTTTAAAATGTACTTTTACTTTTGGAAATGATTATTTCTAGCTAAGTCAATGATCGAAAATAAAAACCAAATTAATCTCTACCAACGCATCAGAACAAGAAAGAAATATAACCATAAATTGAAATGGCTAAGCAAACACTTTTAGAGCAATTAAGTCCTAGATTCACAGAGAATTCAAAAATTCTGTGAAAACACCTGAGTTTTACCAATGTAACAACTGTATCTATTTTACATACTTACCTTTCACATTTTATATAATTATTCTTTAGGTTTTATTACAAATGCTATTTTGCATTTCAATTATTTTATTAATTTAAATGAGGTAGGAGGTCAACAGGACTTGTTTTCACAACCCTGCTGATCAAAACAGGATGTAGCAAAGAAACCAGCCAACCAGCTAGGACTGGGAATTATAATACATTCGTATGCTATAAGACACTCCCACCAACACCATGGCAGTTTACAAATGACATAGCAATGGCCAGAAGTTTCCATATATGGTTCTGGGAACTCCCTGATGCTTTTTTAGAAAGCTCATTAATAATCCTCCCCTGATTCAGCATATAATTAGAAGTAGGTGTAAATATAGCTAGCCAGCAATCCAGGAGTGCTACTCTGCCTGTGGGATACCCCTGCTCTGTCTACGGAGCAGCAATTTTGCTGCATGCTATCGCTCTAATAAAATCGCTTTCTTCCACTGTTGGCTCACTCTTGAATTTTTTCCTGAGTGAAGCCAAGAACCCTCCCAAGCTGAGCCCTGATATGGGGGTTTGCCTGCATCAAAATGTCGTGCAATAAGTTGTAAACTGCTTTGCTGCTCCTAGTGTGCACCTTGGACTTTCAGCATTGGTACCACCTAAGAGTTTGTTGAAAAAGCAGTATTTTGCACTCCACCCTTACCGATTCAGAACCTACATTTTACCAAGATCTCTAGGTGGTTGAGATATACATAATATAAGTAGCTTTGGGATAAAGAATGAGCCTGGACTTTTTAGTCCCACAGAGAAGATCTCAGATAAGTTCACGACTTTTGACTTTAGACAAATTTCCAGACTTCTTTAAATGTCATATTCTTCTTTTGTACAAAGAGTACAGTAACATGCATTACCAAAGAGGATAAAGACAGTTGATACATATGAAGCATTTAATTAGCGCAGGATTTGGAGTTCAGAAGTTTCAACGAATGTTTCTTGCCGTCTTTCCACAGGTTATGGGCTGCCAAAATAGAAAGTGATCTACATTTCTCCTCCTCCCACTTTTCTACTCAGAATTTCTATTATGATATTTTAAAGGATATTCTAATTCCCTACACTAGATCATTTTAATCTTTGTAAGAGAGGAATAGATTAATATAGGAAATCCAAACTTTCAGTACAGAAAAAGAAAACCTTTATAAGAAGTAGAGAAAATGGGTGTACTAAGCAAAGTTTGTGCATAAGTCCTATAATTAAAATCAGTATTTATTTTCACTATTCATTTTGAATATGCCTTAGGCCATTTTTGCATGGCTATAAAGAAATACCTGAGAGTGGGTAACTTATAAAGAAAATAGTTTGAATTGGTTCATAGTTATACAGGCTTTACAGGAAGCATGGTGCTGATATCTGCTCAGCTTCTGAGGAGGCCTCTAGAAATTTACAGTCATGGTGGAAGGTGAAGGGGGAGCAGATACATCACATGGCCAGAGCCAGAGCAAGAGAGAGAGGCAGGAGATGCCACACACTTAACAACCAGATCTCATGAGAACTTACTCACTGTCAAGAAGACAGCACCAGGCCATGAGAGATCCACGCCCATGACCCAAACACCAGGCCCCGCTTCCAGCATTGAGGATTACAATTCAATATGAGATTTTGTTGAGGACAAATATCCAAACTATACCAGAATACATTTATTTATTGACTGACAACATAATTTTATACTTTCTACTGGATACTTAAGCCACTACGGATTTTAAAAATATACATGTATATCATTATAAATCTTTCTAATTCAATATTATAGATCTACTTTATTCTTTTCAACATTTTTCTACATAGTAACTCTTGAGTATGGAAATATCAAAATATATCTAACTTGCTGAACATCTAGTTTGCTTCCAGCTTCTTATTTGTATGCATTTTGATGCTATTACAAGTGACATTATTTTGTAGTTGGTGGAATGTGGAACTTCACTAATGTTTATATTGAACTTGTAAGCCAGAAACTTGTTAAGTTAATTGATTAGCTTGAATATTCTAACTGTGAACTGAGTTATCTAAATTCACAATAGTGTTATCTGACAATAAGAACAATTGTATCTATAATCCTTATATTATTTCCCTTGTTTGATTGCACTGACTAGGACCTCCAGGACTATAAAGAATAAAAATGTTGATAGCATTTCTTCTCACACTAAATCTAAGAGAAGAGCATCTCAATATTCCACCATTAAGTGTGATATTATCTGTAAAGTTTTAAAGACACTCTATACCAAATTAAGGAAGTTATCCTCCTTCCTTAGTTTGCTAAATGGTTTATGATGATTGAATGTTGAATTTAATCAAATGTTTTTTCTATATATTTTATGTGGTCATACGGTTTTTCTATATTTGATTATTTCATTTATATTATAACGTTGAGTTAATTTTGCATTTCTGAAATAAAATATTTATAATGATGCATTATCGTTTACTTATTAATCTGGATTTCTAGTACTTTGTTTTAGACTTTCTGATTCTATGTTCAGAAATTACAATGATAGTGTAACTATGATGCACATAGGTGTTGTTTCTCTTTAATATACCTACATTAAAAATATACAACGTTTAAATCTATAGCTTGATGTCTTTAGTGGACTTTGAAAATTGTTCAACTATTTAAATTTTAAATTGTCTTTCTCTTTTTCTGGGACTCCAATTATACTCGTTTTATATATATGTGTTCCACAGGTCTCATATTCTCTTCAGGATTTTCTTTCCTTTTTTTCCAGAGATGTAGTTTAGTTTTTTGTTTTGTTTTGTTTTGTTCAGAAGGGCTTTTCTTTGGATATTGGATTTTTATTTTTAGTTACTGTAGTTTTAAGCTTCTATTATTTCCTTTTTATTTGATACCTTTTAGAGCTTCCAATTTTCTGCCAAAATTCTCTTTTGCTCCATTTTCTTGAAAATATTGATTATAGTTATTTTTAAATTCATGAATGAACACTTCAATATTGTGATCTCCCATGTGCCCATTTCTACACTCTATATATTTTTGCTTTTGTGCATTTTTTCTAGTATAGGAATGTCATCAAATATACCACATTCATCTACAGATTAAATGTAATTACAATCAAAATTTCAAGAGAGTTGTTGCTTAAATCAACAAAACAGATTCTGAAATTGGTAAAGGAAAACAAAAGACTTGGCAATATTGAAAAAGAACAAAGCAGGAGGACTCAATCTAAAAGATAAAAATATTTATTTCCAAAATTATAAATCAGAAAATGTGATGTTGGTACAGGGCTAGGAAAATGGATGAAGAAAAAAAAAGAATCCAGCAGTGGATAATGAATTGTTGTTCCAGGAAATTGAGCTACATTAAATGAATATCAACTAGGAAAAAAAAATTAGCCACTCTCACTCCACACATAAATAAATCCCAGGCAGATTATAGGTGTAAGTGTGAAGAGTAAATATGTGCCTGCATGCATATGTGTTTTATAAAAGGTAGCTTAGGAGAATGTATTCATAATGCTAATACAGATACAATCAAACAGAACCCCAAGTCAATAACTATCAACAAAAAGAAATTTCAATTAGATTACTATAAAATTAAATATGGCTGTTTATCAAAAGACACCACTAACAAAAGTGCAAAGACCAGTCATAGAGCACAGAAGATGTTTTCAATGCATAGAATTGACAAATAATTCACATCAGAATATAAAAAGAAAACCTACAAATCAATAAGAATATGACAGAATATCAAATAGAAAAATGGAAGAAAAACTTTATCTCTTTACCAAGGAGGATATCCACATGGTCAATATGCAGAGAAAAAATATGCTCAATGTCATCACTTAATAGTAAAATGTAGGCCAGGCATAGTGGCTCATTCCTGTAATCCCAGCACTTTGGGAGGCCAAGACAGGCGAATCACCTGAACTCAGAAGTTTGAGACCAGCCTGGCCAACAAGGTGAAACCCTGTCTCTACCAAAAATACAAAAATTAGCCAGGTGTGGTGGAGGGCGCCTGTAATCCCAGCTACTCTGGAGGCTGAGGCAGGAGAATTGCTTGAACCCAAGAGGCAGAGGTTGCATTGAGCTGAGATCTTGCCATTGCACTCCACGCTGGGTGACAAGAGGAAAACTTGGTCTCAAAAAAAAAAAAAAAAGTAAAATGTAAACTAAACTGTTACTACTATTCCATACCCACTATAATACCACAAGAAAATAACAGATAATACCAAGTTTTACTGATAATGTGAATTTATTGGTACACCTATGTTGTATCTTTATAAGTTGTACACTTCTGTGTATGTGTTATATTTTGATTTAAAAGTTAACTAAAAATTAATGTCCACTGTGTTAGTCAGGGTTCTCTAGAGGAATAGAACTAATAGAATATATATATATAGATCTCCTATATAGGAACTAATAGGATATATATAATATATATATATCCTATTAGTTATATAGATATATAGATATATAGATATCATATATATAGATATCCTATTAGTCATATAGATACATAGATATCCTAATAGGATATATATCATAGATATATATATCATATATATCATAGATATATATATCATATATATCATAGATATATATATCATATATATCATAGATATATATATATCATATATATCATAGATATATATATATCATATATATCATAGATATATATATATCATATATATCATAGATACATATATCATATATATCATAGATACATATATCATATATATCATAGATACATATATATCATATATATCATAGATACATATATATCATATATATCATAGATACATATATATCATATATATCATAGATACATATATATCATATATATCATAGATACATATATATCATATATATCATAGATACATATATATCATATATATCATAGATACATATATATCATATATATCATAGATACATATATATCATATATATCATATAGACATATATATCATATATATCATATAGACATATATATCATATATATCATATAGACATATATCATATATATCATATAGACATATATCATATATATCATATAGACATATATCATATATATCATATAGACATATATCATATATATCATATAGACATATATCATATAGACATATATATCATGTATATCATATAGACATATATATCATGTATATCATATAGACATATATATCATGTATATCATATAGACATATATATCATATGAGATATATATCATATATCTCATATGATATATATCTCATATATATCATATGAGATATATATATCATATATATCATATGAGATATATAATCATATGATATATATGAGATATATATATGAGATATATATATGAGATATATATATCATATGATATATATCCATATATCATATGATATATATCCATATATCATATGGATATATATCTCATATGGATATATATATCATATTTTTATGGGAATTTATTAATTATTAACTTACACAATCACAAGGTCCCACAATAGGCTGTCTGCAAGCTGAGGAGCAGGGGAGCCAGTCTGAGTCCCACAGCTGAAGAACTTGGTGTCTGATTTTCGAGGGCAAGAAGCATCCAGCATGGGAGAAAGATGTAGGCTCGGAGACTAGGCCAGTCTCTCTTTTTCACGTTTTTCTGCCTGCTTTACATTCGATGGCAGCTGGTTAGATTGTGCCCACCAGATTGAGGGTGGATCTGCCTTCCCCACACCACTGACGCAAATGCTGATCTTTTTTGGCAACACTCACACAGACACACCCAGGATCAATACTTTGTATCCTTCAGTCCAATCAAGTTGACACTCAGTATTAACCGTCACATCCACTCATCATAAAATCCTTAGCAAACTGGGAAGAAAAAGGGAACTCCCTTAATCTAATTAAGACTAAAAGATATAAACAGTTAAAACTAGTTCAATGGTGAAATACAGAAATCCCCCTCGGATTTCAACCACTACTTTTATTTGATATTTTATTAAAGGTCATAGCTAGTAGAAAAAGGAAAAAAGGAAAAAGAAAGAAATGAAGGAAGAATGGAAAGAAGGAAGGAAGGAAATAAAACTAGTCTCATAAAATTCACAAGAATCTATAGACAAATTACAGTCTCTTAATGATGAGGATACCTTCTGAGAAATGCTTCATTAGGTGATTTTGTGGTTGCATGAACATTATAGAGTGTATTTACACAAACCTAGATGATATAGCCCACTACACACTGAGTCTATACTGTAGCTTATTGCTTCTAGGCTATAAACATATACAGCATGTTACCATACTGAATACTGCAGGCAATTGGACACAACGATATTTGTATATCTAAGCAGAAAATGTACAGTAAAAATACTGTTTAAAGACAAAAAACAATGGTACATCTGTATAGGACACTTTCCACAAATGGAGCTTGCAGGACTGAAAGCTGCTCTGAGTGAGTCAGTGAATGAGTGGTGAGTGAATGTGAAGGCCTAGGACATTAGCTGTTCACTACTGTAGACTTTACAAACACCGTACACTTAGGCTACATGACATTTACTTAATTTTTTTCTTTATTTAATAATAAATTAACCTTAGCTTACTATAACTATTTTACTTTATCTACTTTTAAATTTTTTTAACTTTTTGATCCTTTTATAATGACATTTCACTGAAAGCACAAACGCATTGTATCGCTATAAAATACTTTGTTTATATATTTATTCTAAAGTTGTTTTTTTTTTTTACTTTTCAAATTTTTGTTAAAAACTAATACACAAACACACACATGAACCCAGGCCTGTGCAGGAACAGGATCATCACTATCGTTGTCTTCAACCTCCACATCTTGTCCCGCTGGGAGGCTTTCAGAGGCAATAACATGCATGAAATTGTCATCTTCTATGATAACAATGCCTTCTTCTGGGATACTGAAGAAGTATCCCAGAAGAAGGCACTGCCTGAGGCTCTTTTACAGTTAACTTTTTTAATAAGTAGAAGATGTACATTCTAAAATAATGACAAAAAGCATAATAAATACACAAACCAAATACATAGTTGTTTATTATTATAAAATATTGTAGACTATAGATAATAGTATGTGCTATACTTTTATACAATTGGCAGTAGGTTTGTTTACATCAGCATCACCACGACCATGTGAGTAATGTGTCGTAATATGACATTAAGACAGTTATAGTGCCACTAAGAGATAGGGATTTTCATCTCCATTATAATCTTAGGGTCCATTGCTGGCCAAATGTCGTTACATAGCACACGGCTATATTGGCATTAGCCTGCAAATTTTTGAAGTGTGCTATATAGAATGTAAATTTTTGTTTATCCCTTAATAAACATCAAAGGTCTTCAAATAAATTTTTAAATATCAAATTATACAAGTAAAATATCAAAATGGTCCCAAGGGCCAATGATAAGTTCTCAATTTCATTATGTATAAGGGAAATACAAATTAAAACCAAAAAGTATACAAACCAAATAGAATGACTAGTGAAAAAAATGATGATTTCAAGTTTTGTCAAGGAATTTTAAATAACCGGAATTCTTATTCTGTGTGGGCAGCAGCACAAATTCTTTGAAACTCTTTGTAAAGTATTTGGGAACATCAACAAAAAGCTGAACTTTTCATATCCTATGAACAGCGATATCACTTCTATGTATATAAACCTGTCATATATATGTATGTACCAAAAGACATGTAAAAGAAAGTTTCTAGCAGGACTGTAAGTAGTAGCCAAAAAGTGGATATTATATATATAAGACTGCATAAGTGAATCATGGTGTGCTCTATGAGCAGTGGGCAGACAAGGTGGGTTCTATTAGTATTAAAGTCTTCAACTCTATTAGTAACTTTTTATTATTGAATTTGTTAATGGGTACATGAACATTCATGGTGTTTTTTCAAACGACTTTGTATTTAAAACTGCAAATAATTTTTTACTAAGGCTTACCAAAAATGCAAATAAAATGTATATTTATAGCTTCAAAAATAGCAAGCAAAACACGAAATAAACAAAAATGTGGATGATTTTTTAAAACTATGCATTTCAACAAGAAGGAAAGAGAGAGAAAGAGAGAGAGAGAAAGAAGAAAGAAAAGAAAAAAGAAAAGAAAAAGAAAGAGAAAAGAAAGAAAGAAAGAAAGAAAGAAAGAAAGAAAGGAAAGAAAGAAAAAGAAAGAAGGAAGGAAGGAGAGAAACAGAAAGGGAGGAAGGAAGGAAGGAAAGAAGGAAGGGAGAAAGGGAGGGAAGGAAAAGAATTAGTTTTGCCTTTTGATGGGAGAAGCTAAAAAACACTATGGCCATGTTTTCCTTTTACCCCAGTAGGTAATGATGTATTTATTAGCATGAAAACATATTTATGAATTACACATAATCAAACTCCTAATGTTTTTAAAACTATGTATTTTTTATAGTCAGAAAACCAACAATAAAAATATTGTCATTAAAGATATAGATAATTGCTTTTAGGTTCAAAATGTCTACCCTACCGTTTTCTCCAATGTATGAGGAACATAAAAACAAGATCAGATGCTACAGCCCAATTTGCTTGTGCTGATCATACTTCAGGGTCTTATAGACTACTTCCTACTCCCTGGAGCTAGCAGTTGTTTGGATTTTCTATTTTTTCTTCATATTTAGACTTATGAAGATTTTTGCTTCTGTCTATCTTATGGGATTTCTGTATTAAAACTCTAGCATGTGACCTTGGGTGTTCACTAGCCCTCCTTAGAAAAGGTAGATTCCAGGTCTTTTCCTGCCCTGAATTGATGCTCCTCTCACTCTAGCATGACAGCTTTTCATAACTGTCAACTTCATCTTCTTGCAACTGCCCATCACTTACAATGTAAAATCACTTATAATGTAAAATATATTGAATAGTTATTATTATTCCTCTTTCAGAGACACAATACTACAGTTAATATTATGTCATATTTATAATTTGCATTTTTTTCACTAACATACACTACATATAGCTATATATCTATAAGTAAAAAATTGTGAAAAATGTTGATAAGAAAGAATTGAATGTGAATTCTGTTTTCTTTGTGATCTGAGCTAATATCACATTGGTAGAAAACACTATTATCTGACAGAGGTCTTTCAGGGTTCTAGTTATGGGCCCAAACAAATCACAATGTAATTCATCACATTTATACACAGTCAGCTTTGGGTTGACTCACTTGATTGTCCTTGACAGTGCTGCTGAATACTTTCATTTTTAGTCCAGCCGTTATAGAAAAGGCCCATTGTATGGTGTGGGCAATTGCATTTGCTAGAGAATGTCTTTTGCTTGCTATTATGTGCGTGGAGGTAGGTGAGAAGAAAAAAAAACAAACAAATAGAAACAGAACAAAACAAAAGAAAACCTCGCTAGTTATGCCTTTCAACCTTGAAAAGAAAAATGAAACTCATATATAGAAATTTCTTTCAATAAATTTCCGTGTGTGAAAATGTGTCATACATTTTGCTGATAACAGGAAGAGGTATGACCATGAATGAGCATGTGAAAGGCATTCATAGTTTAAGTCAAGTTAAGATCTCAGGAGTGGTGTCTAGTCCAAATTTCAAATATGCTTATCATGGCTTGTTCAAATCTCATGTGCTATGGGGTATGATAATCCCTTAAAACAAAAAAAAAAGCAGTTCTCTGGCAGATTAAGAGAACAGTTTGCTTTTGCCTCAGGCCATTAACATTTTAATAAAACGGTCGTCAACTGTGATAACAATTCATCTTTAGGTTACTTTATCTATTATTAACCTTATTAAATAACAAGTTTATTATTGCTGACATGTAGGTTTTCCAGCCCTCATCAAACATGCTTCTCACTCTAGCTCTCTTTCACTCTCTCTCTCTTTAAAATTTCAGCTCAATTAAGCTGAATTTCTGTGCCAAGTACATGTTTACAAGTTTGTTGGTTTGTTTTCCTTTGGAGCAATTTGAAAATGATTCTCATTTCCAATAATAGTTGATTAAGCTAAACACATTTTATGGGCTTTGTTGAGGACTACAATCTGTTTAGCAGGAATAATTTACTACTTTTGTCTGATTTGGTTGAAATAGACGCTTGTTAGCCTTAAGAAAATTTTGTTCTATATAAGAGTACGAGGTCAAAAGATACAAGTTAGAGTTTATTTTCACAGGGAATAAGGTGACATAATGGGCAATTATGCTTCTTACCAACAGCATGATGCCCAATACTTTTTATTGAAGTAACCATAAACACCCTATTTAATCTACAATTGATAAAGGACAATGGACCCAGCACTAAGCCTCTGGAATGCATGAAGAAGAAAACAAAAGTATGGAATGGGGATTGTACATGATGTGCTTGGTGAATTCAAAATGATCTACTATGGTGAGAGCCAAGGACTGGACAAAGAGAAAGAATAGTTAGAAGATAAAATAGAAAATTGTTTTGGAACCCATCTTAGATTATAAAAGTTGCAAATGTTTCACCTAAAGTAAAAGGGAGTCAGGAAGCATCCACTGGTTAATGTGTATTAAGTGGAGAAAAACATAATTTGATTGAAGTTTTAAGCAACTCTACACAATGGACAGAATCAGTTTGGGTTGTAAAGTCTGGAGACACATAAACCTTTTGGAAGGCAGTTTCATGAGACTAATGAAAGATGGCAAGGACCTATACTTGGTAGACAGGGCAGTAAGGAGAGAAATGAGATAAATGATGAACCTTTCTAAAGAGTATCTGTATTAGCCAATTTTTGCATTGCTTTAAAGAAACACTTGAGACTGGGTAATTTATAAGAAAGGAGGTTTAATTGGCTCACAGTTCTGCAGGCTGTACAGGAGGCACCTGCTTCTTGGGAGGCCTCAGGGAGCTTACACTCATGGTGGAAGGCCAAGTGGGAGCAGGCTGTCTTACATGGCCAGAGCAGGAGCAAGAGAGAGAGAGTGAGGGAGGAGATACTACACACTTTCAAATAATCAGATCTCACAAGAACTCACTCTCACGAGAGCATCACCAAGAGGATGGTGCTAAACCATTCATGATCCAATCACCTCCAACCAGGCCCTGCCTCCAACATCGGGGATTATAATTTGACATGAGATTTTGTTGGGAACAGGACCCCAAATCTGGCCATAAACAGGCCCCCAAATTGGCCATAAACAAAATCTCTGCAGCACTGTGACATGCTCATGATGGCTATGATGCCCACACTGAAGGTTGTTGGTTTACCAGAATGAGGGCAAGGAACGCCTGGCCCACCCAGGGCAGAAAACCACTTAAGGCGTTCCTGAACCACAAACAATAGCATGACAGATCTGGGTCTTAAGGACATGTTCCTGCTGCAGATAACTAGCCAGAGCCCATCCCTTTGTTTCCTGTTTTAGTTAATCTATAATCTATAGAAAGAATGCTTATCACTGGCTTGCTCTTAATAAATATGGGGATAAAACTTGTTCATGGCTCTCAGATCTGAAGGCTGTCAGCACTCTGATTCCCACTCTGCACTCGGTATTTCTGTGTGTGTGTCTTTAATTCCTCTAACACCGCTGGGTTAGGGTCTCCAAGACCGATGGTCTCAGCAAGATTTGGGTAGGGACACAGATACAAACCATATCAATACCCAATAGAACTTGGTGAAAGGTGAATTGTGGTTACGATAAAAAACCATAATGTTGATTTTCAGTTTGAGCAACTAAATAGTTGGTAATGGCATCAACCATCAGTAATGAAAGTATAGGGATAAAATGCTTAAGTAGGAAGATACTGAGGTTTTTTTGGCATATGCGTGTTTTTGGAGTCTATTGGTGACAACTAGGTGCAGTAACAAGAGTTTCTACAGAGCTAGAAAACAGCAAAGCTGCCTTGTACACACACATTTCTAGGACTATGCATACCTAGCCTTTTATGTTAAAAAACATTGGTATCTTGAAGTCTATATAGGACAAAACATTTTCCCAACTTGGATTTGCTTCAAGTCCTACTTTCTTTCCATTTGTACTTTTTCATATACCACCAATACATCTCTTTCTCTCTATCACCACACTCATTGATTTTTTCAGAATTTTACCTTGCATGATTTAATATAATGGTCACTAAGCTGGTCACCCTTTCTTTTACTTTATCCATGATATATATGTTTCGTGCATAGCCATAGGAATGATTTTTATGCAATAAAAATACATGTTACAACAGTGCTTCCAACCAATGGCACTGTGGGACATAACATCTCCTTTTAATATGATTTGCTTTTTAATATAGTTTTGCTGTTCTAAATTCAAATTTATAGATATTTTAACATATCAGTGGGCTTAATTTCAAAAACTAATAAAATAACATAAAAACACTAACAATGAAATAAAATAAGTGTAATTTGTGATATGATATTTCCATATACAAATGCTCAGGCACTAATATACCCAAAGACATAATTAAGTACATTATTGTCTGGACCCACATGTAGAATCTCAATGGATAAATGGACAAATACAGCTGCATGCAGATATGTGTGGTTGTGAACAAATAGCATGTGCAGCACTGACATTTAGGACATAATTCCTTTAAAAATATACAACTCTTGATAAAGTTACCAGCAATGCAATAAAAATCTTTTTGTATTTACATGGTAGTTGCATTCCTGGAAAATTTCATATATATTAAAACAAATAGTATGCACTTAAATATAAAACAGAGTTAAAGTCTAGGTTCAGATTATTATAACTCAGTTTTAATGTAAATGAACATCCAACATTTGAAAGTCACATGAGGGAAAGAAAAATTTATTTGCATTATGAAAATATCCTACACATTGAAGGGAAGTAGAATCCCAGATACCCTCCCACTAAGTGGCAGGAGTCCCCTCAATAATATGAAATCTAAAACTCGCTCTTCTAAAAATTATATGGCCATCACTGATCATCTGCTTTATACCTTTCAAAGGCTCTACATGCCTCAGAGCATAAGTTTCAAATTTTTTCTGGATATAGGGTGCCAACTATGATCTGATTCCAACTGCTACTTTCATGGTTCCTGTCTCAACATTTATGCCCAAGTCAGACTAAATTGCTTTGTATTTTTAGAAAATTTGTTTTGTTTGGCTTTCCTTATGTGATCCACTTTGCCTAGGATGATGACGATGATGATTGTGATGTTCATGAGGATAAATATGATGATGTTAAAATATAATATCTAATATTTTTAAATGATAATCACAATTTTCTATTTTTTAAACATTCAATCCATACGCAATATACACAAAGATTTATCTGTAGATAAAAAGTTAACTACAAAGAGATTTCTGTTTTTAGTACTGGTAAACCTGTCTCTCACAGACAATTTCTCATTTTGAGAACAACTATAAAATTTAGAAAAAAATACAAACAAAAAAAAAACCATCTGTTTAAGTACATTGGAAAACTACCAAGGTAGCAAAGACATGAGAGGCCAAATGTGAAGAGAAAGAGAACGTGACAGTTTGAGTCTACTTTTCCTATTGAAACATTTGCTGATTCTAAAGCAGTGGCTAACAAGCTGAGAAGATAAACAAGAAATTGTGGGTGAGAAAAACTGAGAAGAGATTCCAACAGTTTTATGTGATTATGGTTCAGGATCTCTAAAGAGAAGGAGTCTGATAACCATAACAGCTGTTTGCTTGGGATTCTCAAAAATAATCCCAAAAGGTTAACTAGAATTAACCATCTTTCACAAAGACTGAAGATCAGTTTCAAATAAACTCAATCACTGGAAAAAGTGATAACCACTGCCCAAAAGGAAAAAAAATATATAGACTGTCTAGGAAAATAACATCATAGCCTCAAATTTCTTTAAAACGGTTTATATAACATTATGTAATGTTGTACATTTAAGAAATAATTACCAGGCATTATCAGGACAAAAACAGGTAACCAAAAACCGAAAGGAAAAATATAAAGAAATAGACCAAAAAAGTAGAGCTATTAGAGGTATTAAACATGGTATTTAAGATATTTGTGATTAATAAGCACAATGACATTAAGTAAATTTTTAAATTTCCATTATACTTTTTTAATTAAAATGCACAATGACAATATGACAAAAATTTTAAATTTCCATTATAAAGTTTAATTTCCATTATAAAATTAATTTCCATTATAAAATCAGAACTTCAGCAGATAAATAGGATTTTTTATCTTTAAAATCAAATGGAAGAATTTGAATCTTCATAGCAAAGTCTTTGAGAACTAAACTGAGATTTGAAAAACTAAACACGAGGTGAAAGAGAATTTGCAGTCTGAACTAACTGAATTAGTATCCAGCTAACACCAAAACCCAAGATTTTCCAGAGGATTGTAGCAGAACCCAGTGACTACACAATACAACAATTACAATGTGAGGATACATATCAAACTTATTCAACAGAAAAAGAACCTGAAAAACTGGAGGGGAAAAAAATAATGAGCAGATGTTGGAATTATCAGACAAAGAGTTTAAAACAGCAAGCATAACAAAGAACAATATGGAAAAAAATGATTTTTTTTAATACATGAAAAGACAGAAAATTTCCACAGGGAAATGGAACTACATATAGGTACAAAAGAAATTTAATAATTTAAAAATAAAATATCTGAATTAAAAATGTATCAGATGGACTTAATATAAGAATGGAATTGAAGAGAAAAAGTCAGTTAACTTGAGGATGGTTCATAGAAGAAATTATCCAATTTGGAAAACAGAAAAAAATTGATAAAAAAATTAAATGAGTCTCAGAAACCTGTGAGATAATATTAAAAACAAAATATAATTTGAATTCCACTGCGACTACATTGGGAAGAAATAATATTTGAAGAAATAATGAAACAATCCCAAATTAGGTGAAAGACATAAATTTACAAATTTACAATTTAAGAAGCTCAGCAAATCTAAATAGGGTAATTTCAAAGAAATCAGTGCCTGCATACATCATAATCAATCTGTTAAACATCAAAGATAAAGTATGAGAAACAACTAGAGAAAATATGATATGCTGCTGTAAATTTCTTGTCAGAAGAAAATGGAGAATGTTTACAAAGGACTGTAAGTGAAAAATTTAAAACAAAATTTTATCCCTACATAAAGTATCCTTCAACGTTTCAGAGGAAACATTTTTAGACAAAGTAAAACTAAGAGAATTTGTTATCAGCAAACCTGTTTATAAAGAATGGTAAAAGAGTTTATTCCAACTGAAGAAAAATGACCCCAGAGGGAAACTACGATCTTCAGAAGTTGAAAAAGAGGCTCAAAAATAGTATATATCTAGCTTAATTTAAACACTACATTTAACTCTTTAGTTTATATATGAAAATATTTAAAGCAAAAGTATAACATATGACGGGGTTGTCAAAATACATACAGTTAATAAGTATAAAAATTTAGTGTAAACCAGAGTGGGTTTGGGCAATGGGACCTTTTTGCTAGGTTTCTACATTTATGCGACATGGTACAATTTTAGCTCTAAGTGGACTATGAAAGATTAAATATGTATATTATAATCCCCAATAAGCCACCAATAAGAAAACAGTGCAAAGAAATAGAACCAAAAATGCTGAGAAGTCAATTAAAATATTTTAAATATTCAAATAATCCAAAAGAAGGAAAGAAAGTGGGAAGAGAGGAAAAGAAAAACAGAAAACAAAAAAATTAAGGGAGTAGAACTAAATTGAAGCAAGTAAGTACTACCTATAAGGAAAATCCTTTAAATAAAAATACCCAAGGAGGTTAGAACTAAGTGAATGGGAAACCACATACCATGCAAATAATAAGTATGAGAAGGCTATGGTAAATAAATTCATAGCAGACTAAATACACTTCAAGACAAAAAATAATTGTCAGACGTAAAGAGGGACATTTCATATTGATAAAAGAAAAGTTCAACAGGAGGACAAAAATTGTAACTGTGCTTAATGAAACAGCTTCAAAATAATGGAGTAAAAATTGATAGAGTTAGAGGGAGAACTAGATAATACTAGTGCATTATATCATTCTTCTCTTAGCAATGGATTGAATAATTAAATAAAACAAAATTGGTAAGGTCATGGAATAGTTGAGCAACATTATAAACCACCTTCACCTAATCGATACTTATAGAATACTATATTTAACAATTGCAGATTTCATGTTCTTTTATGTCTCATGATATACTCACCAAATTAGATGATATGCTGGACCATTAAATTAGTATTCATAAAGTTTAAAATCATGCACAGCAAGTTGCTGATCAAAACAATTACATTTGAAATCAATAACAAGATACCTCAGAAAACTTCACATATATGAAAACTAAATAGCATGCTTTGAAATAATGCTTGGGTCAAAGACAATATTACAACAGAAATTAAGATACATTTTGAATGGAAAACAACAAAAATAAAACATGCCGACATTTGTGGAAAGCAGTGTCTAAAGGGAAATTTATAGGTTTAAATGTACATATTAAACATTAAAAATGACTTAAAGTTCTATCTTAAAAAGCAATAAAGGTAGAAAGTAAACCTAAAACAAGTAAAAGGAAGAAATAATAAATGTAAGTACAGAAATCAATGTAATAAAAACACAGATAAACAATGAGGAAATTAACAAAGCCAAAACTTAGTTCTTTGAAAAGATAATAAAATCAACAAATTCTTAGCTAGATTGATCAGATAAAAAGAAAGAGAATACAAGTCTCCAATATTAGGAAAGAAAAAGAGATTTACACCACAGATCCCTAAGATATTAAAAGGATAATAAGATAATATACAATATTATCTTATATATAATATATTATAACAATATATATTATAATTTCGTGCCAACAAATTTGAAAACTTAGATGAAATTTTAAAAAATTTTTGAAAAATACAATTTACACAAGAAGAAACAGATGATATGAATAACCTAACAGCTATTAAAGGAATTGAATTAACTATCAAAAATCTTTCTAAAAGGAAAATTTCAGTTCCAGATGGCTTCACTGGTGAAGTCTATCAAACACTCAGTGTCAAAAAGAATACTGGCCAGACGCAGTGGCTCACGCCTGTAATCCCAGCACTTCGGGATTCTGAGGCAGGCAGATTGCTTGAGCCCAGGTGTTGGAGACCAGCCTGGCCAACATGGCAAAACATCATCTCTATTAAAAATACAAAAAAATAAAAAATAAAAAAATAAAAAATTAGCCAGGTATGGTGGTGGAAGCCTGTAGTCCCAGATATTTGGGAGTTTGAGGCATGAGAATCACTTGAACCCGGGACGCAGAGATTGCAGTGAGCTGAGAAGGTGCCCCTGCACTCCAGCCTAAGCAACAGAGCAAGACTCAGTCTCATAATAATAATAATAATAATAATAATAATAATAATAATAACAACTAAAAAACATTGATTTTACACTAAATTTTACAAAAAATAGAGAATATTACAATTACAAATAATACAATAGAGGTATTTTATGCCTTTAGATAAAAAAAATCCTTAACCAAATATTCACAAACTTAATCCAATAATGCATCAATACTAATTAATGTATTATAGGAACTCAAGGTTGCTTTAACATGTGAAAATCAATGTAATTTACTATATTAAGAATAAAAGAGAAACCTATTTCATCACTTCAATACACGTACATATACCATTTGACAAAATTCAATCTAAAATCTCTCAACCAACTAGCAAATAGGAATAAAATTTTTAAATTGAAAAAGGGAAACTACAAAAAACCCAGAGCTAACATCATGCCTAATGGACAAAGACTAAATTGTTCCCCCTAAGATCAAAAACAAGGCAAAGAGGCACACTTTAACCACTTGTATTTAATAATGAATTGGAAGTATTAGTCATTATAACAAGGCAAAACTAATCAAGAAAAATCATAAACATTGTGAAAAAAAAAAAGATAAAAACTATCCCTATTTTTCTATTTGCAGAAGGTATGATTGTTCTGAGAAAAATCTCAGAAATCTACCAGAAGCAAGAAGTGATTTTAGCAAAGTTACAGGAAATAGGTTAAAATACGAAAATCAGTTTCTCAAAAAATTAAAAGTAGAACTACCACGTGACCCAGCAATCCCATTACTGGGTGTATATCCAAAGGATATAAAATCAGGATGTCAAAGAGATATCTGCACTTCCATGTTCATTGCAGCACTATTCACAATAACCAAAATATGGAATCAACCTAAGGGTCTGTTAACAGATAAATGGATAAAGAAAATGTGGTATACATACAAAATGGAATACTATTTAACTTTAATAAAACATCACACTCTGGGGACTGTTGTGGGGTAGGTGGAGGGCAGAGGGATAGCATTAGGAGATATACCTAATGCTAAATGACGAGTTAATGGGTGCAGCACACCAGCATGGCACATGTATAAATATGTAACTAACCTGCACATTGTGCACATGTACCCTAAAACTTAAAGTATAATAATAATAAAATAAAGAAAGAAATAAATAAGGAATCTTGTCATTTGTCACAACATAGATAAACCTGGAGGACATCATATTAAATAAAATAAGCCACCAGGCACAGAAAGACAAATACTGCATGATCTCACTCATATGCTGAATCTAAAAAAGTCAAATTCATAGAAATAGGGTAGAAATAGAGAGCAAAATGGTGGTCACTAGAGGCTGGGGGGTGGGGAAATTGGGGAGATGTTAGTCAAAGGACACAACATTTCAGCTATACAGAAAAAAAAAGTTAAACTGCTCTATTGTATATCATGGTGACTATAGTTAATAACAATATGACTACATATTGTATACTTAAAAATTGCTAAGAGTAGATTTTAATTGTTATTGCTACAAATAAACTGACAAGTACATGAGGTAATGCATATCTTAATTAGCTTGATTTACCATTCCACAATGTGTACATAAATTAAAACACTGTGTTGTACACATAAATATATATAATGTTTGCCAATTAAAATAAATTGTAGAAATTAATTGTATTCATAAATTGGCAGCAAGCAACTGGAAATTGGAAATTTTAAAATTCCACACATAGTAGCATGAAAAATACATGATATTTAAGAAAAATCTAACAAAAATTTTCAAAATCTATACCTCAAAACATTACTGAAAAAGAGAAAAAAAAATACCTAAATAAAAGGAGCAATACATCACATTCATGGATTGGAAAACTTAATATTGTTAAGATGAAAATTCTCACCAAATTAATTTATACATTGGCTACAATCCTAAGTTTCATTAAGGTTTTTGTATAAATTGGCAAGAAAAATCTCAAATGTACATGGAAAGTCAAGGGCATAGAATACATAAAACTATTTTTATAAATAAGAACAAAGTTGGAAGACTTGCCTTATCTGATTTCAAGACTAACTACAGAGTTGTAAAAATCAAGACAGCTTGGTGTTAGTGAAAGGCCAGAAATAAGTCAATGGAACAATGGAGTACATAATGGGAGATACCCATACTTTCAATATAAACCTGCAGGAAAACCATGCCCTAAAAATGTTGAGGGCCCATCTAAAACTTTAATTTGGGGAGATTGTGTTAACTCACATGCAGTAATATTAAGGCACCAGATATCGGGCAAAATTCACCCCCGATATTTCATGTAGGTTCTTTTCTATTTTCCCTAAGTGTTGGCCAGTCTGAGAAATAAAGAGACAGAGTACAAAAGAGAGAAATTTTAAAGCTGGGTGTCTGGCGGAGACATCACATGTCGGCAGCTTCCATGATGCCCCCTGAGCCGTAAAACCAGCAAGTTTTTATTAGTGATTTTCAAAAGGGGAGGGAGTGTATGAATAGGGTGTGGGTCACAGAGATCACACGCTTCACAAGGTAGTAAGATATCACAAGGCAAATGGAGGCAGGGTGAGATCACAGGACCACAGGACCGGGGTGAAATTAAAATTGCTAATGAAGTTTCAGGCATGCATTGTCACTGATAACATCTTATCAGGAGACAGGGTTTGAGAGCAGAAAACAGGTCTGACCAAAATTTATTAGGTGGGAATTTCCTCATCCTAATAAGCCTGGGAGCGCTATGGGAGACTGGGGCTTATTTCATCCCTACAGCTGAGACCGTAAAAGACAGCCACCCCTAAAGCAGCCATTTCAGAGACCCACCCTCAGGGACACATTCTCTTTCTCAGGGATGTTCCTTGCTGAGAAAAATAATTCAGTGATATTTCTCCCATTTGCTTTTGAAAGAAGAGAAATATGGCTCTGTTCCACCTGGCTCACCGGCAGTCAGAGTTTAAGGTTGTCTCTCTTGTTCCCTGAACATTGCTGTTATCCTGTTCTTTTTTCAAGGTGCCCAGATTTCATATTGTTCAAACACACATGCTCTACAAACAATTTGTGCAGTTAACGCAATTATCACAGGGTCCTGAGGCAACATACATCCTCCTCAGCTTGCGAAGATGATGGGATTAAGAGATTAAAGTAAAGACAGGCATAGGAAATCACAAGGGTATTGATTGGGGAAGTGATATAAGTGTCCATGAAATCTTCACAGTTTATGTTCAGAGATTGCAGTAAAGACAGGTGTAAGAAATTATAAAAGTATTAATTTGGGGAACTAATAAATGTCCATGAAATCTTCACAATTTATGTTCTTCTGCCATGGCTTCAGCCAGTCCCTCCATTCAGGGTTCCTGACTTCCCGCAACAAGTACAGAAATACAGTCCCACACATTCATGGCCAATTGACATCAACAAAGATGCTGAGATTAATAAATGGGGAAAGAAACGTCGTTACCAAATATTGTGAGCCCAACTAAATATTCATATAGAAAAAGACTCTAAATTGACCCTTACCTCATACCATACACAAAACTTACCTCAAAGTGAATCACAGACTAAATGCAAGAGTTGCAATTGTAAAACTAACTTCTAAAAGAAAACAAGAAGAAATCTTTGAGGTTCTGGGTAGACAACTTAGAAGATAAATATCCCAGCACTTTGGGAGGCCAAGGTGGGCAGATCACGAGGTCAGGAGATCGAGACCATCCTGGCTAACATGGTGAAACCCCATCTCTACTAAAAATACAAAAAAAAATTACCCAGGTGTGGTGGCAGGTGCCTGTAGTCCCAGCTACTCAGGAGGCTAAGGCAGGAGAATGGTGTGAATATGAACCCAGGAGGTGGAGCTTGCAGTGAGCGGAGATCACGCCACTGCACTCCAGCCTGAGCGACAGAGTGAGACTCTGTTAAAAAAAAAAAAAAAAGAAGATAAACAATATGAGAAAAATTGATAAATTGAATAATATTTAAAAACTTTTGCCCTTCAAAATGTATATTTTGAAAATATAAGGCAAACCACAGCCTGGGAGAAATTTTTGCAGCACATATCAATAAAAGGTGTGCACTCAGAATGTATAAAATATTCTTTCAAAGGAATGCAAACTGCTGTCACTGCTATGGAAAACTGTATGACAGTTACTCAAAAAATTAAAAATAGAATTGCCATATGATCCAGCTATTTCACTTCTGAGTTTACACCCAAAAGAACTGAAAGTGAAGTCTTGAAAAGATATTTGTACACTTATATTTATAGCAGTGTTATCACAATAGCCAAAAGGTAGAAGCAACCAACCCAAGGGACCACCAGCTGATAAACAGATAAATAAAATGTCTATACATACTGTGGAATATTATTCAGCCTTTTTGAATTTTTTTTATTATAAAGACTTTATTCTATTTTTATTTTAATTTTTTTATTTTTTCATGTTATTGCTGTACAGGTGGCATTTGGTTACATGAGTAAGTTCTTTACTGGTGATTTGTGAGATATTGGTCACCCATCACCAAAGCAGTATACACTGCACCATATTTGTAGTTTTTTATCCCTTGCCCCGCTCCTACTCTTCCCTCCAAGTCCTCAAAGTCCATTGTGTCATTCTTATGCCTTTGAATCCTCATAGCTTATCTCCCACATATCAGTGAGAACATATGATGTTTGGTTTTCCATTCCTGAGTTACTTCAGTTAGAATAATAGTCTCCAATCTCATCCAGGTCACTGCAAATGCTGTTAATTCATTCCTTTTTATGGCTGCATAGTATTCCATCATATATATATATACCACAGCTTCTTTATCTACTTGTTGATTGATGGGTATTTGGGTTGGTTCCACGATTTTGCTCTTGTGAATTGTGCTGCTATAAACATGCATATGCAAGTACCTTTTCCGTATAATGACTTCTTTTCTTCTGGGCAGATACCTAGTAGTGGGATTGCTAGATCAAATGGTAGTTCTACTTTTAGTTCTGTAAGGAATCTCTACACTGTTTTCCACAGTGGCTGTACTAGTTTACATTCCCACCAGCAGTGTAGAAGTGTTCCCTGTTCACTGCATCCATGCCAACCTCTACTGTTTTTTGAATTTTTGATTATGGCCATTCTTGCAGGAGTAAGGTGGTATGCATTGTGGTTTTTATTTGCATTTCCCTGATCATTAGTGATGTTGAGCATTTTTCTTATGTTTATTGGCCATTTGTATATCTTCTTTTGAGAACTGTCTGTTCATGTCCTTAGCCCACTTTTGATGGGATTGTTTTTTTTTTCTTACCAATTTGTTTGAGTTTATTGTAGATTCTGGATATTAGTCCTTTGCCAGATGTATAGATTGTGAAGATTTTCTTCCACTCTGTGGGTTTTCTGTTTACTCTGCTGACTGTTCCTTTTGCCATGCAAAAGCTCTTTAGTTTAATTAGGTCCCAGCTGTTTATCTTTGTTTTTACTGCATTTGCTTTTAGGTTCTTGGTCATGAAACCCTTGCCTAACCCAATGTCTAGAAGGGTTTTTTCAATGTTATCTTCTAGAATTTTTGTAGTTTCAGGTCTTAGGTTTAAGTCCTTAATCCATTTTGATTTTTTTTTTTTTTTTTTTTTTTTTGAGACAGAGTCTTGCTCTGTCACCAGGCTGGAGTTCAGTGGCACAATCTGGGCTGACTGCAACCTCCGCCTCTCAGGTTCAAGCAGTTCTCCTGCTTCAGCCTCATGAGTAGCTGGGACTATAGGCACATGCCACCACACCCAGCTAATTTTTATATTTTTAGTAGAGATGGAGTTTCACTATGTTGGCCAGGATGGTCTTGATCTCCTGACCTCGTGATCCACCTGCTTCAGCCTCCCAAAGTGCTGGGATTACAGGCCTGAGCCACTGCGCCTGGCCTTGAGTTGATTTTTGTACAAGGTGAGAGATGAGGACCCAGTTTAATTCTCCTACATGTGGCTAGCCAATTATCCCAGCATCATTTGTTGAAAAGGGTGTCCTTTCCCCACTGTATGTTTTTGTTTGTTTTGTCAAAGATCAGTTGGCTGTAAGTCTTTGGGTTTCTTTCTGGGTTCTCTATTCTGTTCCATTGGTCGATGTGCTTATTTTTCTACCAGTACCATGCTGTTTTGGTGACTATGGCATTATAGTATAGGTTGAAATCAGGTAGTATGATGTCTCCAGATTTGTTCTTTTTGGTTAGTCTTGCTTTGGCTACATGGGCTCTTTTTTGGTTCCATGTGAATTTTAGAATTGTTCTAATTCTGTGAAGAATGATGGTGGTATTTTGATGGGGATTGTGTTGAATTTGTAGATTGCTTTGGCAGTATGGTCATTTTCACAATATTAATTTTACCCATCCATGAGCATGGGATGTGTTTCTATTTGTTTGTGTCATCTATGATTTCTTTCAGCAGCATTTTGTAGTTTTCCTTGTAGAGGTCTTTAGATTCCCTCATTAGGTATATTCCTAAGTATTTTATTTTATTTTATTTTATTTTATTTTATTTTATTTTTGCAGCTATTGTAAAAGAGGTTGAGTTCTTGATTTGATTCTCTGCTTGGTCACTGTTGGTGTATAGAAAAGCTACTGATTTGTGTACATTAATCTTGTATCCAGAAACTTTGCTGAATTCTTTTATCAGTTCTAGGAGCTTTCTGGAGGAGTCCTTAGGGTTTTCAAGGTAAATGATCATATCATCAGCAAACAGTGACAGGTTCGTTTTCTCTTTATGGATTCTGATACCCGTTATTTCTTTCTTTTGTCTGATTGCTCTAACTAGGACTTCCAGTACTATGTTGAAGAGGAGTGGTGAGAGTGGGCATTCTTGTCCTGTTCCAGTTCTCAGAGGGAGTGCTTTCAATCTTTCTCCATTCAGTATTATGTTGGCTGTGGGTTTGTCATAGATGACTTTTATTACATTAAGGTATGTCCCTTATATGTTGATTTTGCTGAGAGTTTTAATCTTAAAGGAATGCTGGATTTTGTCTAATGCTTTTTCAGCATCTATTGAGATGATCATGTGATTTTTGTTTTTAACTCTGTTTATGTGGTGCATCACATTTATTGACTTGCATATGTTAAACCATCCCTGCATTCCTGGTACAAAACCTATTTGATCATGGTGGATTATCTTTTTGATATGTTGTTGGATTAAGTTAGCTAGTATTTTGTTAAGGATTTTAGCATCAATGTTCATCATAAGTATTGGTCTGTAATTTTCTTTTTGGTTATGGCCTTTCCTGGTTTGGGTATTAGCATGATGCTGGCTTCATAAAATGAATTAGAGAGGATTCCTTCTTTTTCTATCTTGTGGAATAGTGTCAAAAGGATTGGTATCAATTATTTGAATGTTTGGTAAAATTCTGCTGTGAATCCGCCTGGTCCTGGACTTTTTTGTTTGGTAATTTTTTAATTACCATTTTAATCTTGCTGCTTGTTATTGGTCTGCTCAAGGTATCTAATTCTTCCTGATTTAAGCTAGGAGGGTTGTATTTTTCCAGGAATTTACCCATCTCTTCTAGGTTTTCTAGTTTATGTGTGTAAAGGTGTTCATAGTAGCCTTGAATGATCTTTTGTATCTCTGTAGTGTCAGTTGTAATATCTCCTGTTTTGTTTCTTAGTGAGGTTATTTGGATTTTCTCTCTTCTTTTCTTGGTTAATCTTGCTAATGGTCTATCAACTTTATTTATCTTTTCAAAGATCAAGTTTTTTGTTTCATTTATCTTTTGTATTTTGTTTGTTTGTTTGTTTCAGTTTCATTTAGTTCTACTCTTATCTTGGTAATTTCCTTTCTTCTGCTGGGTTTGGGTTTGGTTTGTTCTGGTTTTTTTTTTTTTTTTTTTGAGACGGAGTCTCACTCTGTCGCCCAGGCTGGACTGTAGTGGCACGATCTCAGCTCACTGCAAGCTCCGCCTCCCAGGTTCACGCTATTCTCCTGCCTCAGCCTCCCGAGTAGCTGGGACTACAGGTGCCCGCCACCATGCCCAGCTCCTTTTTTGTATTTTTAGTAGAGGTGGGGTTTCACTGTGTTAGCCAGGATGGTCTCAATCTCCTGACCTCGTGATCCACCGCCTCAGCCTCCCAAAGTGCTGGGATTACAGGCATGAGCCACTGTGCCCGGCCTTGTTCTGGGTTTTCCTAGTTGCTTGAGGTGTGACCTTAGAATGTCAATTTGTGCTCTTTCAGTCTTTTCAATGCAGGCACTTAGGGCTACGAACTTTTCTCTTAGCACTGCCTTTGCTGTATCCCAGAGGTTTTGATAGATTGGGTTGTGTCATTATTGTCATTCAGTTTGAAGAATGTTTAAATTTTCATCTTGATTTCATTTTTGACCCAAGGCTCATTGAGGAGCAGGTTATTTAATTTCCATGTATTTGCATGGTTCTGAAGCTTCCTTTTGAGGTTGATTTCCAGTTTTATTCCACTGTGGTCTGAGAGAGTGCTTGCTATAATTTCAATTTTCTTAAATTTATTGAGGCTCGTTTTATGGCCTATCATATTGTCTATCTTGGAGAAAGTTCCATGTGCTGTTGAATAGAATGGGTATGCTGCAGTTGTTGGATGAAATGTTCTGTATATGTCTGTTAAGTCCATTTGCTCCAAGGTACAGTTTAAATCCATTGTTTCTTTGTTGACTTTCTGTCTTGATGACCTGTCTAGTGCTGTCAGTGGAGTATTGAAGTCCCCACTCTTATTGTGCTGCTGTCTATCTCATTTCTTAGGTCTATTAGTAATTGTTTTATAAATTTGGGTGCTCCTGTGTTAGGTGCATATTTATTCAGTCTTTAAAAGGAAGGACATTCTAACACATGCTACAACGTGGATGAATGTGGAGGGACATTATGCCATATAAAATAAGTCAATCACAAAACAGACAAATACTGTATGATTTCACTTATACGAAGTGCCTGTAGTAGTCAAATTCATAGAGAATTTGGTTGCCAGCAGCTGGGGAGAGGGGATAATAAGAAATTTTGTTCAATTGGTTTTACAACATGGAAAGACTTCTGGAGATTAGTTGAACAAATATGTGAATGTACTTAACATTACTGAACTGCACACTTGAAAATGGTTAAGGTGTTCAATTCTATGGTATGTATATTTTACCACGGTTTTAGAAATCTCTTTCAACCCACAATAAGACAAACAACTCAATTTACAAAAAGTAAAAGATTTGAAGAGACACTTCACAATGGAAAACATACAAATGGCCAAAAATATTAGCTGCATTGCCAGTTATCAGGAAAATGCAAATTCAAACCACATGGAATATCACTACTTTCCATTAAAATGACTGAAATTAAAAATACATATCATGCTAAGTATTGGAGAGGATTTGTAACTTTTTGTGTGAATGCAAAATAATACAACTTAGAAAACTGTTTTTTCTTAAAAAGTTAAACTTACATCTGTCACTTCACTCCTAGATATTTCTAAAATATATTTGTGACCAAAGGATTATGCAATCAAGACTTATGTGCTGTGTGCATTCTTAAAAATAATAAATATGTAAATATAATAATAAATATACATCTGTAGATATCATACATATTCTACATATTATGTGTTTGTTCATTTTCCACTTAGCACTTAAAGTACTATTATAGGTGAAATAACTATATCACACTATACGCCTGTTAAGCTTTTAAGTAGTAATTTGTGTTAGAAGAGTAGACTTGCAAGAAATTAATACCATTTATCAAAGTTCCCTTATATATGCCAGATCATTTACATACATTGTAACATTTAATCCCTGCATCAAATCATCTTGGCTAAAATTAATTGAGCATTTGCTATTTGCTAAACACTTACACAAGAAATTTCATGTGAATATTTTCTTTATTCTCATTTTACTTGGCTTATATATAAAGAGAAAGAACCAAACACACACTTTTTTTTTGTTTAGAAGCCTCTAGACCAATGGTTCTCATGTGGGTACAGTTTTGTCCTGCAGGGAACATTTCACCAATCTCTGGAGATATTTTTGGTTCTCATAATTGACAGGATACTAGTAGCATCTCGTGGGTAGAGGCCAGGGATGCTGCTAAACATCTTCTAACACTCAGCATGGTCTCTTCCATTACAGAGAATTATCTGGACCCAAATGTCAGTAATGCCACTGAGGTTGAGGAAACCTACTTTAGATCCATGGCCAAAACCCTCATCTTCTCTAGGAATATATTCTCCTCACTTTTCCTGCCCAGGTTCCATCCTCCTTTTTTATGATTGCATGTACTCAGTGTAAAGGAGAAAGAAAAATAATCTACACTTTCTCTATTCCAAGGGGCTGCCCTCATGCAACTCCTCCCATAATTTTCATGTGTGTTTCATGGCTTTCTCCCACAGATGGTACAGACTTTATAGCAGTTTCCCTGTGATGTTTAAATGCCTGTCCCTACATATCTCCCTTCGCTGTATGAATATTAGAATTTTGGTAGGCAGCAAGGAGAGGCTGCCTGGCTCTTTAAATATTTTACTATAACCTTTATTATTTTATGTGCCCCAGTCCTCTTTCTGGTTTTACCACCAGCCTCCCACAGGTGTCTTCCACCATGGCTTCTCTTTGTACATTAATCACTATGAAAATTGATAAAATGTACAGCCCTAAAAAGTAAAAGAATAGGAAATGGAAAGTCAATTGCAAAATCTAGACAGCCCATTTTGCATTGTTATCTCATTCAATCTTCTCCCCTTTCCAGTCAAAATAGCCTTAGAACCCTTCATGGCTTACTCAACATTGACTTTACTTTTTGTCAGGGTGACAGCAGCAGTACTGGACTTGAAAGTAGAACAGCATATTCTATGTCAAGATGCTACTCACTTTGATCTTTCCATCTAGAATGCCTCAGGACTGGAAGATAATTTTCTTGTACAAACTACTGTAAAGTTAGTATGTCAAGCAGTTCTTATCTTGCCATATCTCACTTCAAAATTTCAAAATAAAATATCGACCTTCTACAATAGAACACCACCTCCACTGGGAGTTAGAAAGACACTCATAACTACCCCATTCCAAAAAAAAAAAAAAAGTTTTCTGTAGCAAAAAAAAACGTTGAAAAAAGACGATTTATTTAGAATGTTAGACAACCAACAATTTTTAGGTCAATTTATACATCCCAATATTCCAGTATGACTTCTAGAAATAGTTAATAATAACTGTATTTTTATATGCTAATAGATGGACTATGATTAAGCATGTTATTGCTTTGGTTTGTCTCAAATAAAAAGTAAAATAGAGTGAGGTTCCAAGGCTTTATCTGAAGTACCCCTGCCCGTGTTGGTTCAGTATCATTCTCACCAAATCATCTTTTTAACTTTTTTCAAAAAAATATTTTAGTAACTGAACAAAAAGCCTTATCCTAAGAGTTTCTATTTTTGGTCTTTGATCTCTCACAACACTGTACAGATGAGGTATATGAGAAGGTAGCAACAACCTTATGACTGCATTTTTTTAATAATTTAAAGACTATTTTTAGAGCAGTTTTAGGTTCGTAGCAAAATTAAGAGGAATGTATAGAGATTTTACATTTACCCCTGCCCATACACAGCATAGCTTCCCCATTAACAACATCCTCCACCAGAGCCATCTTTAAATTCTTACAGTAGATAAACTATAGTGACACATCATTTTCACCCAAAGTCTATAGCTTACATTAGGGTTTGTTCTTGATGTGTACATTCTATAAATTTGGACAAATGTATAATGATGTGTCTCCATCATTACCATCTCATAGAGAGTTTGTCACTACCCCAAGATCCCTCTGTGCTTCACATACCTTTACTCAATTTATATTCCCTCAAATGTTTTTGTTTATTAATGTTTCTGAATTTTCAAAAACTAGACATTAGTGAATTTATGAAGATTATTTCTAGAAAAGGAAACAAAGCTGAAAACCTAGTAAAGACTCCAGACCATATTTAAAAGTTTCTTGGAGAAATCGCTGATTCTAGGACTAAGGAAAGAAACACACATGATGATATTAGAAGTTCTTGTAGTCCCAGTGTATTAGGCCATTCTTGCACTGCTATAAAAAATACCTGAGACAGGGTAATTTATAAAGAAAAGAAGTTTAATTGGCTCACAGCTCTGCAGACTTTACAGGAAGCATGGTGCTAGCACCTGGTCAGCTTCTGGTGAAGCCTCATAGAGCTTTGAATCATGGCAGAAGGCAAAGGGGGAACAGGCAGGTCACATGGCAAAAGCAGAAACAGGTGAGAGAGAGCATGGAGTGGGGAGGTGCCACACACTTTTAAACAACTGGATCTCCTGCAAACTCAGAACAAAAGCTCACTTATCACCAAGGGGATGGCCTGAGCCATTCATAAGGGATCCACCCCCATGATCCAATCACCTCCCACTGGGCCCCACCTCCAACACTGGGATTATATTTCAACATGAGATTTGGGCAGGGACACATATCCAGACTATATCACCCAGAAAGAAAGTGCTAAAAAAAAAAAAATCAACCCTCCACAATGATAAAATAACATTATTGGGCTATGACCCAATGTATAAAATAAATATCCACGAGTCTATATTAATGTAAATAAGTGACTGAATAAAGAAATAAATGGAGAAAATAGACAAATATTCCTGTGCAGAAGACTTCCAAATAATTTCTGTAGATCCTCTGCACTAAAGAGGTAGAGCATAATACCCCACTCTTTATATGTTAGCAGTGTGCAGCGACTTTCTTCCAAAAAGCATAGTGTGAAAGTGGAGGGGGAATGAGCAACTTTATAGTGGAAAAACTTGGAAAACTCTACCTCAAGCCAGGTGGTCAAGGTCAACATCAGTAGTGTTAAGGTATATTGACAGTGTGTACCCTTGATATGATGCTATAAGAACAGTACTTCAACTTTGGTTTTCCTCCCCAGAATTCATAACCCCAGTCTAATCATGAGAAAAAAATATCAGACAACCCAAATTGAGGGACATCCTACAAAGTACCTGACCAATATTCCTCAAAACCATCAATATCAATTAAAAATGAGTGTAAAAAAACAGTCACAACCAAGAGGAACCTATGGAGACATGACAACTAAATGCAACGTGGTACCCTGGATGGGATCCTGGAACAGAAAAAGGACATTAGAAAAAAAACAGATAGAATCTGAATAAATTATGAACATTTATTAATAATGTGCCAATATTGGTTCATTAATTGTTGCAAGTAAAATATACTTATGTAAGATGATAGGGGAAACTGAGTATGGAATATACAGGAACTTTGTACTAACTTCACAATAATTCTGTCATTCTAAAAGTATTCTAAAAGGAAAGGATTATTTTAATAAATAAATAAAAAGTTTTCATTTTAATTTTCTACATTATTGAAAATGTGAGGTAGACCCTGGGCAGAGCCAAATATATGAAAATTGTATACAGGCAGTCCCCAATTTATGATGGTTTGACTTAAAATATTTTGACATTACAATGATACAAAAGCAATATGCATTCAGTAGAAGCCATACCTTGACATACCTTGAGTACCCATACAACTGCTCTCTGTTTTTCATTTCCAGCATGGTATTCAATAAGTTACATGAAATATTCAACACTTTATTATAAAATAGGCTTTATGTTAGACAACGTTGTCCAACTGTGGGCTAATGTTAAGTGTTCTGAGCATGTTTTGGGGAGGCTAGGCTAAGCTATGATGTTTGCTAGGTTAGGTGCACTAAATGCATTTACAACTTACAATAGGTTTACTGGAAACCAACCCTATTGTAGGTCAAGGAGCATCTGCATAGTGCCAAACTGATGACCCCAATTATTGTTCCAGAATATAATTAGTCTAAACCTGATAGTCATATCTCAGTGCCTTTCTCTGAAAGGGCCTGTTGTAACCAGTTATTAGACTCCTCCCTTAAGTCATATTACTGGCCCATATACCATCACTCAACAAGCAAATCTATGGTAACAGAAGGTGAAAAAGCAACTTCAGGTTAACATAGTGACATTTCAATTGTAACCATTGGAGATAAGACATTCTCATCACTTAACACTCCCATAGTGGAGTTGTCAAACTAGGAAGAAGAGGGGTGGAGTTCATTAGCAGGTGCATATTAAGATAGGTGATGTTAAGTCCCCACTCCCGTATGTATAGCTGTGCACCTAAAGTAGGTCTATCTTTCTGGAAAGGCAATGGGAAATCAGGCACCAGCTTTCCCATGATTTCTCATAACACAGAGTTCTAGGCAGTCAGAACTCATAGAAATAACCATGAAAAAGATAAATGAAATTATATTAATCTTCAGAAGACAGTGTGATGGGCCTTCCCCATTTCATGGGCTTTACTCTATTTGGGAATTTACTGCTGGGTGTTTGCTTTCTATTATATTCTTCCATGGAATCATGTCATTTTCTATTTCCTCTGTAAGATCTATGAGAAAACAGCCTCCTAGATGAGCATGCTATTAATGTATTAGGGAGAAAATGGCATCCAAAAGACTATGAAATACCAGGGCCAAATTACACTGGCTCTTTGTGAAGCAGGCATACCTCATCCATTTCATCTCTAGCTAGTTATTTCTGTAGCTGCCTCTTAAAAATCATTTAAATCAAACCACACTTCCACTTACAGACAGACGAAATCACTTGCAGCTAATCCATCTCCTACTTTATTGCCCATAGAAATGAAGAACAGGTTGCACAAGCACAGCGTACAACAGGAGGCTCAGAGACAGCAGCCATCCATTTCCTCATAGTATACAAGTTTGATCATGTTTGCCTAATTATCCCATTAACCTGTACCTAAAGATCCAATTACTCCAGCTGTGGGTGATTGAATAAAGGGCAATTGCAACAGATACCAGGCAGGGGACACGTGTATTCCTCATTTGTAAAGTTTGTAATTGCTAGTTCAGTCTTTCACCAAGAAATTCCTATGGCAGCAAAGATAACAGAAGTATTTCAAAAGTGCAGTTTCTAAATTGGTATTCATTTACATTGTAAAAGTTTATTATGAATTAAAATATTCTTCCTTGTTTTCAGTACACATTTGTGTCTTTTCCATCACTTTTCCAGTTAGAGATTAAAAGACTGAGCCCACTGGATTGAATTCTTACCTTCCCAGCATTATTCCTCCAACACAGGTAGCTGTCATTAGATAAGGTGTCATTAGAGGTTCCTAACTCAATTTAGGTATTAATAAAACAACCACCTAGGCTTTCCTCAGGTATGATTTAGTGTCTATAAATTATTAAATAGCTAGTATAAAAATTTAGTTGCAGTCTTCTATCTCAAATGTACTCTCAATGTTGCCCACAAAGCCTTTCATTTTTTTTCGAGTCAGATACTTCACAGACGCTCACAAATTGTTGATCTCTTTGTCTTAAACATTCAATCCTACCATCTCTGCTGCCAGTCTGAGCAGATGAACTCACCCTACCTTACAGTGATGATAGACATCATCATCAAAAAGCCATGAAATGTCTGCTACATAAATTCCCTTCATCCACACATAACAACTCCTCCATCTGCCTTCCATCAAAGATATTCACTGAATAATATAGTTTGGATATTTATTCCCCCAGATCTCAAGTTGAAATGTAATCCACAGTATTGGAAGTGAGGCCTGGTGGGAGGTGTCTGGGTCATGGGGGTGGATCCCCCATGGCTTGGTGCTGTCCTCATGATAGTGAGTGAATTCTCATGGGATCTGGCTGTTTCAAAATGAGTGGCACCTCCCACCTCTCTCTTGCTCCTGCTCTCACCACATGACATGTCTCCTCCTGCTTCACCTTCTGCCATAAGTAAAAGCTCCCTGAGGCCTCTCCAGAAACCAAGCAGATGCCACACCATGCTTCCTGCAAAGCCTGCAGAACCATAAGCCAATTAAACCTCTTTTCTTTATAAATTACCTTGTCTCAGGTATTTCTTTATAGCAATGCAAGAATGGCCTAATACATTGAGTTTCACGGCTCAGATCTCAATCCCTCCAGTATCTCCAGAGATCCCTTGATCTTGTTAGTTAAACTCTTATTCCTGTGTCTTCTACCACTAACTCTTCTTTTCTACTGGCTTCTTCTCATCAATATTTTCTACATACTCAAGACTTTCCTATCTTAAAGATAAACAAACGAAACCTTTCTTCAGCCTGCTATCTCCCACAGCAACGTCACTACCATTGTCTTCCCTTTTACAACTAACTTTTTAAAAATAGTCAACATTTTCTGCATGGAAAGAGCCCATATTCATTCATTGTTCAGTCCCCTATGATGGAGTTTGTGCTTACGCTGCTCCACCAGAATGTATCTTGTCAGGTCCACCAGTGATGTTCATGGTGATGAATCAATGGATAATTGTTAGTACTGATTTTTTTCTCTGTAGAATGTTAAGTTTGTTTCCTCCTCTCTTGATTTTTTGGAAGACTTCACTTTTGTTATTTCTTTTCTCACTCCTCTTGCCATTTACCTATTCTTTCTCATAATTTGGAGCATTCCCTGACTTTCTTAAGATCATTACTCAAATTTTACCAACTCAATAAAGCCTACCTCCATCACCCTATTTAAAAGTACAAACTTCCAACAGAAAGTAACAAGTGTTGGTGAGGCATGTAAAAATTGAACACCTGTGCACTGTGTGTGGGAATATAAAATGGTGCAGTTGCTATGAAAAACAATATGACAGTTCCTCAAAAAATAAAAAAATAGAATTACCATATGATCTAGCAATTTCACTGCTGGGTATATACACTAAAGAACTGAAAACAGAGACTTGAACAGGTATTTGGACACCCATGTTCAAAGTAGCATTATTCACAATTACAAAAATGTGGAAGAAATCCAAGTGTTCACTGATGAATGAATAAACAAAATGTAACATATATGTACAATGGGATATTAGTTAGCCTTAAAAATAAAGGAAATTATGACACATGCTACAACGTGAATGAACCTCGAGGCCATTATGCTAAGTAAAACAAGCCAGTTACAAAAGGACAAACAGCTATGCAATTCCCCTTGTCTGAGGTACCTAAAGTAGTCAGACTCATAGAGACAGAGAGTAGAATGGTGATTGCCAGGGGCTGGGAGGTGGGGAATGGAGAGTTATTTAATGGGTATAAAGTTTCTATTTTTTAACATGAAGAGAATTCTGGGGACTTGTTGCTCAACAATAGAAATGAAGGTATCTACAGTACTGAACTATACGCCTAAAAATGGTTAGGATGGTAAATTTTATGTTACATACAATTTACCACAATAAAAAAATTTAAAAACTTAAAATTGCCCCAACAACGTCTCTATGTTTATTTCCTGTTTTATGTTTCGTCACAGCATTTATTGGCAAGTAATATAAAAACTTGTTATTTATTGTCTGTTTCTCCCAATCGAATGTAAACTACATGAGGGCAAGGATTTACATGTTCAGTATAATTATATATCTCCATTGCCTGAAACTGTGTTTGGCCTATATTAGGTGTTCAAGCACTTTCTAAATTTTGAATGATTTAATAGATTTTTGTGGACTTTTATTTTCTGTACTTTTCCTTAAATGTCAATTCAGTTCTGTCATATGTCCTCTCAACATCTCAATCGGCACAATCTCTATGGGAGATGTTATTCATTTTAATTGCGAACTAAAAGTTCATATCTCAGAAAATACATCTATGATTCAGATTCTTCTCCTGGGATTTATACCCTTATGCTACTAAATATCTCCATTTGGCTGGATTTTTATGCACCTCAAAGTCAATGAGTCCAAAAAGGAACTCATCCTTTCCCTCAAATCAGCTCCATATTCTGTGTTTGCTTGCAATAAATGTCATCACATTTCCACTCAGTTGCCAAGATAGAAACCTGACATTCATCATGGACTCCTCATTCTTCCATATCCCCCACATAAAATCACACTAACATCTGATATTTCTACCCTATATTTGTTGGATCTGTTCATTTTGCTTGTTTAAAGTTTTGAGCTATTGCTTGGTAAAGCTGCCACGAACATTCTTATACATTTTGGTGAAGAAATAAATGCATTTCTGAGAGTATGTAAATAAGAGTGGAATTTCTGGATAATAAATAGCCAACTATTTGGATTTAGTAGATACTGACAGATTTCCAAAGTAATTGTACCAAATTACACTCTTTCCAACAGTATATGGGAACTCCAGTGCTCTACATATTGTCCAACATTTGGTATCATCAGTCCTTCTAATTTTTGCCTCACCAATAGGTATGGAATAATATCACTTGAGGTTTTATTTGTATTTTCCCCAAATGACTACTTAATTATTATTAAGTGGGTCATCTCCCACTCCCCGATCCACTGTTGCAGACACAGCAGAGGCTCTCCTTGCTGGGGGCTGGAGTAGTGCACTTGGAGACAGCCTTTCCAGGACATTTCACAGCAGCTTCACCCCTGTTTAAAGTGAATCTGCACCACTCAGGCATGCATGAAAGGCAGAGACTATCTTTCTTTCCCCACAGAGAGCAGCAGGGTCCCAGCAACAGAGGGAAGACAAGTCACAAAGCTATCTGCTCTGGACTGGAGGAAGAGCCTTTGCCCCAAGCCCGTTTCAGAGGTAGCTGCCAGAGGGGCATTCCTGCAGACTTTAGTTGCACTGCAGCTGGGAGTCAGAAGACAATGTCTATATGAACTGAAGCTTGTGAGCTCTGCAACAGGGGGATGATAGGAAAGTGGATTGCATTCCTGTCTGTCTATGGCAAGTTGCTTGTGAGGCCCCCTGTGTTACCCCTATCCCAGAGACTTCAGTGCATCCCAATATAAAATCTCCTCACCACTCCCCCACCCATGATGGTGGGTGCTTCCACTCATTATCAACCTACCTAAGGATGAGCCAGATCTTAACTTTAAGCACCACCTACCTGACTGAAGATTGAACTGCACCACCAAACAAAAAACTTTCTGTAAGAAGGGCATAGTTCTAGTGTCCAAGAAAAGCATCCTGAGACTTCTGCACTCCTAGCCTCACAGAAGATAGTGAGTCAGCTCATATATCCAATACTTCTCTATAACAAGGAGCATTTGAGAAAGCCACTTAACAAAAGCTACCCATAACCAAGGAACCCATACAGAGTCTTGGCCCTGAAAGCATACAGAAACAAAGTCAAATGATCAGAAAAAACATATACCATAGTCACACCCTCAAGGGGAAAAAATGTAACAATTAAAAAGCCTCAATGAAATGACAGTAAATTCAAACTTAAGAAGCAACAGGTACTTCACATGAGAAGGACACAGCACAAGAACTCCAGCATTACAAAAAGACAGAGTATTTTCACACCTCCAGAAGACCGCACTAGCTTTTGGGCAACGCATTCTAACCAAAATGAAAATTTTGAAATGACAGATAAAGAATTCTAAGTATGGATTGTAAGGAAATTCAATGAGATCCAAGAGAAAGGTGAAAAACAACATAAAAAAAAACCCAAAAACAATTCAGGATATTAAATCAAGATTGCTATATTAAAAAAACAGAACTTCTAGAAATAAAATTTTCAGTAAAGGAATTTCAAAATCGATAAAAGCTTTCACAATAGACTAGATCAAGCAGAAGAAAGAATTTCAGATCTTGAAGACTGGTCTTATGAATTAACTCAGTCAGACAAAAATAAATAAAAAATTTAAAAAAGAAACAAAGCCTTTGAGAAATAAGAGATTATATCAAGTGACCATGTATTATATGCATTCCTGAGAGATAAGAAAAAGTAAGAAATTTGGAAAACATATTTGAGAGAACAATTCAGGAAAATTTTCCTGACCTTGCTAGAGAGGTAGACATCCAGATGAAAGAAATTCAGATAATACCCATGAAATATCATAAAGACAAACATCACCAAGGTATACAGTCATCAGATTATCCAAGATCAACGATAAAAAATCTTAAAGGCAGCTAGAGAAAAGGGTCAAATCACTTATAAAGAGAATCCCATCAAACTAACAACAGACTTCTCAGCAGAAGCCTTACAAGCCAGTAGAGATTAGGGGCCTATTTTTAGCCTCCTTACAGAATAAAAAAAAAAAAAAAAAGTCAGTCAAGAATTTTATATCCTGCCCACCTAAGCTTCATAAATAAAGAAGAAATAAAGTCTTTCACAGACAAGCAAACACTAAGGGAATTCATCACCTCTAGATCAGCCCTGCAAGAAATGTTCAAAGGAGTTCTAAACATGGAAGCAAAAGGATGATACTTGCTACCATAAAAACATACATAAGTAAAAATTTCACAGTTCCTGTAAAGCAATTACATAGTTGAGACTAAAAAGTAACCAGATAATGAAACTATGAGAGGAACCAAACTTCACTATCAATATTAACCTTAAACACAAATAGCATAAATACTCCACTTAAAAGATATAGATTCACAAATTAGATTAAAAAAAACAAATATCTGCTGTCTACAAGAGACTCATATAACATGTAGACACCCTAAGTTCAAAGTAAATGGGTGGAAAATATATATCATGCAAATGGAAAACAAAAAAGAGCAGTAGTTGCTATTCTTATATCAGATAAAACAGACTTCAAACAACCAACAGTAAAAAAAGAAAAAGACAGGTATTATCTAATGATAAAGGATTTATTCAACAAGAAGATTTAACTACCCTAAATATATAAACACCCAACACCTGAGCACTCAGGTTTATAAAACAAATACTACTAGACCTAAAGAGATAGACAGCCATACAGTAATAGTGGGGGACTTCAACACTTCACTAACTGCACTACTCAAATAATCAAGACAGAAGATTAACAAGGAAACTGAACTTAAACTGGACTCTTGACTAAATATACTTAATAGACATCTATAGAACATTCTACCCAACAACTGCAGAATACATATTTTTCTCATCTGTGCATGTAACATTCTCTAAAATTTGCTGTATGCTTGGACATAAAGCAAATCTCAATAAATTTTTTAAAAATGAAATCATATGAAGTAACTTCTCAGACCACAGTGGAATAAAATTAGAAATCAATACTAACAGTATCTCTCAAAACCACACAAGTACAAGGAAACTAAACAACTTGCTCCTGAATGACTTTGGGGTAAACAATAAAATTAAGACAGAAATATTTTTTTTTTTGAAATTAATGAAAATAGAGACACAAAATACCAAAACCTCTGGAATATAACAAAAGCAGTGCTATATATGCCTACACCAAAAAGAAAGCTTTCAAATTAAAAGCCTAACATCACACATCAAGGAACTAGAAAAACAAAAACAACAACAAAAAACCTCAAAGCCAGCAGCAGAAAAAAAAAATAACAAAGTGAGAGAAGAACTAAATGAAATTGAGACCAAAAAAATACAAATACAAAGGATTAATGACTACAAATATATAATAACCAGAACAAAAAGACTAGTATCAAGAATATATAAGGAACTCAAACAATTCAACAAGAAAAAACCAAATAACCCCATTAAAAAGTAGGCAAAGGTTGTGAACCTTCAGAAGCTTCTCAAAAGAAGACATACAAGTGGCCAATAAATATATAAAAAATGCACAGCATCACTAATTTTCAGAGAAACAGAATTAAAGTCATATAAAATATCATCTCACATCAGTTAGAGTGCCTATTATTAAAAAGTCAAACAGATGTTGGCATGGATGTGGAGAAAAGGGAATGCATATTCACTGTTGATGGGACTGTAAATTAGTTCAATCTCTATTGAAAACAGCATAGAGATTTCTCAAAGAAGTAAAAATAAAACTACTATTCAACCCAGCAAACTTACTATTAGGTATCTATGCAAAGAAAAAGAAATAGTTTTATCAAAAAGACCCCCGCACTCATATGTTTATTGCAGCACTATTCACAACAGCAAAGTCATGAAATCAACCTACATGTCCATCAACGGTACGTTGAATAAAGGTAACATAGTACAAATACACCATGGAATACTATGCAGCCATAGAAAAGAATAAAATTATGATCTTTACAGAAACATGAACGGAGCTGGAGGCCATTATCCTAAGTGAAATAACTCAGAAAGAGAAAATAAAATATGATACGGTTTGACTCTGTGTCTCCACCCAAATCTCATCTTTAATTGTAATCCTCATTATCCCCACATGTCAAGGGAGGGACCTGGTTGGAGGTGATTGGATCATGGAGGCAGTTTTCCCAATGCCTTTCTTGTGATAGTCAGTGTGTTCTCATGAGATCTGATGGTTTTATAAGTGTTTGACAGTTCCTCCTTCACACTTGCTCCTCTTTCTCTGCTGCCACCCTGTAAGAGGTGTCTGCTTCCCCTTCCACCATGATTGTAAGTTTTCTGAGGCCTCCCTAGCCCTGTGGAATTGTGAGTTAATTAAACCTCTTTCCTTCATATATTACCCAGTCTCAGGTATTTCTTTATAGCAGTGTGAGAACGGACTAATACAAAGTACTATATGTTCTCACGTATAAGTTGGAGCTAAACAATGCATATACATCGACATAAAAATGGAAATAATAGACACTGGGGATTCCAATAGAGGGAAAGCTAGAAGGGGCTGAGGGTTGAAAAATTACCTGTTGAGTACAATGTTCACTATTTGGTAACAGTTTACTAGAAACCCAAACCTCACCATTATGCAATATATACATTTAACAAACATGTACATGTACCCTCTGAGCCTAAAATAAAATAATAACAAAAAATATGGAACAAACCTTAATTTCCCCATCTTCCTGATTATGAGCTGGATTTAGTGGCTCATCTCCAAAAGATAGAGTATGTAAACTTACACTGAAGAAGTGGCAAACATCAGCTTCTCATGTGTATAGCAGGTGTCCCCTGACATATGACAAGAAGAGTACCTCACTTTTTGGTATTCTTCCCCTAAATCCATGACCACCATCTAATCATGAGAAAAACATCAGATAAACCCCAACTGAAGGACACTCTACAAAATACCAGTACTCCTAAAATCTTTCAAGAGAGAAAGATGAAAAAGAGAGAAAGACTATGAAACCATCATAGACCAGAGAAGACTAAGGAGACACAAAAATAAAATGCAATATGGTATCCCAGATTGGATTCTAAAACAGAAAAGAACACTAGTGGAAAACTGATGAAATTTGAATAAAATATGGAATTCAGTTCATAATGATGTGCCAATGTTGCTTTCTTAATTGTGAGAAATATAGCATGGTAAAGTAAGATGTTAACAATAGGGGAAACGAGATAAGGAATTATCTCATTATTTTTATGACTTTTGTAAATATAAAATTATAACAAAATAGGTTATTTTAAAATGTCTTAAAAGATTTAATCAGTTTTCAAAATAAAACATAAAAATGTCACCTGTCTAAAAATGATTTTGATTTAACATTTTGATGTTGGTATAACTTGTGCTTTGCCTTGTCATTTAAATATTTTTTCAAAGACCTTTAAAAATCTGGAAATATTACTATTTTTAACTTTATACTTACTCTGAATTTCATCTTTGATGAAAATACAAATTTTGTGACCTTAAAATGCATTTAGCTTATTACTTGGGATAGAACATATATAAAAATCTTGATTATAAAATCTAAAAAATAATTTTTTGGAAAAAAAACTCAAGGGCTTATGACTTCCTGCTTCTCTGAGAGCTCTCTCTGGTGCTATGGGGGTCTTGCTCAGACAGTGAATATAACAGCCTCAAGTACTGAGAATTTAATACTTTCATAGACAATCATCAATCAAGGAAAGTCAAAATATATTTTAAAATATCCAAGCTTCCCTGTCTCACTGTGTGACAATTCTTAGAGGTGGACTGCACTAATGAAAATGCATTCAGGTTAAACAACTATTATTAGAAAGAAGAAAGAGTTTCAGAAATGCTTTAGAGGAAAATAAACTAATCAATCTGCAAATATGCTTTTGGCATAGAAAATTAATTTCCTAAAATTGAACTATGTATTGAAGAAAAACAACCTCATGTATGTGTACAAAGGCAAGGATGGTGGAGGGTGTTTTAGTTAAAGATTTCCTCCAGTGGAAGTGAGGCCCAGTTTTCCACGGTGGTAAACTATTGACTAACACATACTTATTTAGCTTTTCATCCTTTCCTGCCTCTATTTTCTTGCTCCATCTCTTGTACTTCCTGGGAAAACCATCTAAATATGTTTGCCTGCACCAGAGTCCTTTCCTCAGAACCTGCTTTCATGGGGGAAACATCATTGTACCATCAAAAGAATGTTCAGGTATGTGCAACAATAATAAAATTCATCCAACTTGGCTTTTTTGCTTATTTGTAGTCATACAAAAGCCATACATTAACACTTTTATTTGTAATTTTGATGGTACATTTTTCAGAATAGGAAGGTGGAACATATTTTACTTAGCAAAATTGTTAGCTAGAGATATAACTTTGTAAATATTTAGGCATATGGTGAGTGAGCTTCCTATTCCAGTCTCCAGAATGTTACAGACACACTTAGCAGTAAACACTAGGTGATGGCCAGGGTTCTGACTAAGCAGGGAGCCTCTTTATCTGTCGACAGGTAGGGGGGCATCAAGGTTTAAATTACAGCTTGGAGTATTATAAAACATATTTAACTGTAGCTCTTATTAAAGGCATAAGACTAGAAGTCTTAATCTGGTGATTAAAAGTCTGGTGATTTAAAGCCCCTGAAATATTTTTCTGTGTCATGCTCCCCGGAACTAATGGCGGTGGGTCAGTATTCTTTTCTGTCTCATAGCAAAGACACCTCTCAAGAATTTCACATTTCTCTGTAGCAAGGATGCCGTTATGTCTCTCAGGAATGTGTTGGAAGTACCTTTGAGGAGGTAATGAAGTTCTGGCTTGTTGACTAGATTTTTAACACACTTCCATCAAACCAATGGCTCTTTAAAAAGAAAATGGGCATTCTAGTCTTACTTCTTTTCTTTCTAATAGAAAGAGCTTTATATTTACAACTTTCTATTTATTCATTCATTATTCTATTCATTCATATTCTATTCATTCATTCATATTCTATTCATTCATTCATTATTTTTTAATTTTTATTTGTTTTTATTTCCAATTTTTATTTTATGTTCAGGGGTAAATGTGCAGGATGTGTAGGTTTGCTACACAGGCAAATGTGTGCCAAGGCAGTCTGCTGCACAGATCATCCCATCACCTAGATATTGAGCCCAGCATCTATTAGTTATTCTTCCTAATGCTCTCTCTCCTCCCAACCCCCACACTCTGACAGGCCCCAGTGTGTGTTGTACTCCACAGTGTGTCCATGTGTTCTCATCATTCAGCTCCCACTTATAAGTGAGAACACGTGGTATTTGGTTTTCTGTTCCTGCATTAGTTTGCTGAGGATAATGGCTTCCATCTCCATCCATGCAATGGCCTCATAGATGCTTACATTATTATTCTTATTTTAGTCAATGGATTATAGCCCATCATTCATATTATTGTATTCATTTTGGTGCTCTAATTATCCAAGATGTATTGAGTAGAGCCCCTTCAGGCCAGCTCTGGTATCATTTTGACATATTCCCATCATTTTTATAGAAACTCCATGCTTTCTTGCTATACAAGATAGTTCAGACTTATTTTGCCTTTTCTATCCCTTGCCCTGGAATTAGCCATTCTTCGGGGATTCAGCCTCCATTTTGTTTAAAATAGTATTTAGTACTAATAAATGAAGAGAAAATTATGGAGTTAGATCTCAATTTGTTAATCCTTATAATAGTAATTGATTCAGGGAACAATCATCAATGGATGCTAAAACCAGTGGGTGGAGAGTTCAATAAGGAAGAGGATACTTAAATATAACTTTAAAGTATCTCCCCACGAAATACTTATTAACTGCAAAGAAAAATAGGGTGACTTAAAGGGGAGAACCCTGGTAAACACCATTTTAACCAAGTGATCAAAACTAACATTGCCAGTAATGTTTAAAATGACATCATGTGCCTCCTGGTACAATGTGCTAAGGACACAGTATCACAAGGTATTCTTGCAAAGAAATATAGCCTAAATCTAATAATGAGGAAACATTAGACAAACCCAGATTGATAGACATTCTAGAAAACTACTTGTCTATACTATAAAAATATATCAAAGTCATGAAAGATCAAAAAATAAATCCCAAGGACCTGTTCCAGAGAAAAGTAGACAAGACAGTAACAGAATGCAACCCATGATTGGATTTTGGACCACAATTTTTTTCTATAAAATGCTTAAATATGTCAGTGATTGAAATTTGATTAAGTCTACAAATTAGATATTAATATTTTATGAATGCAATTCTATCATCTTTATAATTGTACTGCAGTTATATAAGAGAACATGGTTTTTCTTAACTAATATACACTAAAGGATTTAGAGGTAAAGGGATTTCATTTCTACAACTTACTCTCTTACGGTTTAAAGAAAATGGTATCTGTTTGTGTTTATGTCTGTGTACACCCACATGAGAAGGAGAAGAAAGGAAGAGAGAACATAACAAAGCAAATGTGATAAATTGTCAATAATTGGGATTTCGAGTATATGGTATATGAGAGTGTTTTTATTATATTTACAACATTTCTATAAGTTTGAAATTACTTCAAAATAAAAAGTTACAAAAATTAAGCAATACAGTTGGTGTGGGTACTGCATTCTGTGTCAAGAATCCCCAAAAAGGTGAACAGATACAGTCTCATACTTTGTATCAGACTGATACTTAGTCTGATACAAAGTCTCAAAGAATAAGCATCATTAACTCAAATGGGGGGGCAGGTCTTCGGCAAAGATGGAAATGGAGGAAATATACCTATAATTGTGCAACATAACAGTATCTTTCCTACTACACATGACAAATACATAGGCTAGATGACACTTGTATTCCTGTCTTTTGACCCACAATAAATTTTATGCTTTTTTCCATTAAAGTCAATTCCTTGCTTGAAACTGAGTTTCAGTATTTTTAGTTTCCTAGTCCTATAAGTTGAAATGTATCTGAATGAAATTTTCATGCAAAAATAAAATACCAGCTTCTTGAAGAATTTTTATAGTATGAGCTGAGAGTCAGTGGTTTATAATCGCAGTGCATAAAGTATTTTTATTCACATTGTATAAACAATTCTTTCAGCCTTGGTAACTTTGTGGGAGTCTGATAAGTTCCTAGGATACTTAGCAGATAGCCCTTTGCTTTAAGAATTATGCAGGAACCAAGACAGGGCCTGATGAGAATGCATTCAAGTTAATAAGCTGGTACTAGAAAGGAAAATATTTTTAGAAATGCTTCAAAGAAAAATAAACTAATCAACCTGTAAACATGCTCATGGCATAGAAACTTCATTTCCTATATTAAAGAGAAGCAGCTTCTTTTGGCAAAGAAGGCAAAATCTTGTTTGTGTGTGTGTGTGTGTGTGTGTGTGTGTGTGTGTGTGTGTGTGTGACATGGAGTTTCGCTTTTGTTGCCCAGGCTGGAGTGCAGTGGCATGGTCTCAGCTCACCGCAACCTCCACCTCACCAGTTCAAGCGATTCTCCTGCCTCAGCCTCCTGAGTAGCTGGGATTACAGGCAGGCACCACCACATCCGGCTAATTTTGTATTTTTAAGTAGAGACGGGGTTTCTCCATGTTGGTCAGGCTGGTCTTGAACTCCTGAACCTCAGGTGATCTGCCTGCCTCAGCCTCCCAAAGTGCTGAGATTACAGGTGTGAGCCACCGCGCCTGGCCGCATATTCCTATTTTCTAAAAATGTAGGTGATATTTTCTACTAACAATCATGATTTAAAACTTCATAGTGGTTAGATTATCACTCCTGAAGCCTGGGTAGATTCAAGCAGCTTTTAAAGATGGGGCAGAGAAAGCTCTCAGATCACTTGTACCATTGTGATGTATTTTCAGTTTTATTCATTTTCGGTGTTATCCCTAGGGTTTCTGGGCAGAGGCATCCCAGTTTTTTCACCCACCCTTATTCTGAGAAAACAACAACAACAACAACAACAACAACAAAAAGAAAGAAAGAGAAAGGAAGGAAGGAAGCAAGGAAGGAAGGAAGAAAGAAAAGAAAGAAAAAGAAAGAAAGAAAGAAAGAAAGAAAGAGAAAGAAAGAAGAAAGAAAGAAAGAAAGAAAGAAAGAAAGAAAGAAAGAAAGAGAAAGAAAGAAGAAAGAAAGAAAGAAAGAAAGAAAGAAAGAAAGAGAAAGGAAGGAAGGAAGGAAGGAAGCAAGCAAGGAAGAAAGAAAAGAAAGAAAAGAAAGAAAAAGAAAGAAAGAAAGAAAGAAAGAAAGAAAGAAAAAGA